>NW_025791791.1:0-261194 GCF_000001405.40 Homo sapiens | reverse complement strand
ACATAACAAAACAGACACTAGTCACCTCGTTCAGCACCCAATATCAACCTGGCAAAGCTCAGACTTTTTTCTGTTCGTCCCTGTTGTCTTTGATCCACTCCAGGTGGGGAGGGACGACCTCAGAACAGTAATTCACAATGGGGTCTCTGGGTAAGGCAAAGAGCAGATAGTCACCATGAGACAGGCCTATTGAACTTTCTCCAGGGCTCATCGAATGTAACCAAATAAGAAGAGTCCTCTGAGTTAGGCCTGCTGGACTTCCTTCAGCAATTCCTTCTGAGATTCCCTCCACATATACAAACACACACGAAGATGAGACAGACAGAAGGCCTTCCAAATCAGATGATCCCTAAACAGGAACTCCAAGAGTATCCCTTCCAAACTATCCTCCTATTCTCTGTCTGAGAAATCTCAAAATTGTCCTGATTGAGGACAAGTCTCGTGAACCAAGACTCTTCCTACTAGTTAGAGCCAACCAAGACCCCAGTGGAGCCGAACAGATACCCCGTGGTGGAGCTACAAACAGACACCCTGCAATGGGGCTACAGACACCCTGCAATGGGGCTACAGACACCCCATCATAGAGCTACAGACAAGTCGAGAGAAGGAAGGAGGCATTAGCAGTGCCTAGTAGATTCACCAATCCTAACACCCTGCAATGGGGCTACAGACAGACACCCCACTATGGGGCCACAGAACCAGTCAGGAGAAGGAAGGAGGCATTGGCAGCACCTAGGATACTCACCAATCCAGACACCCTTCAATGCAGCTACAGACGGAAACCCTGTGATAGGGCCACAGTTAGAGGACATCTCTCCAGGATTATTTCTCCGTTGCAATTAAATGCATGCACATTGGGTTGGCAGTGCCTGCCAGTGGAGAGAGTACCAGAGCCAGCCCCCAGTCCAAGAGAACTAGGCGGCTACTTGGGCTACCTTCTGGATCCATCGCTGGAGCGGGGGCACCAAACCACAAGCAGGTAGCCACAAAGGCTTTCCCAGTCTGATTTCGTTCATTGTTGTAATTTCCTCAGTTATAATTTTGCAAAGGTGGTTTCATATTCCTTAAGAGTTGAGCCACACATAAGTTTTATTCATTTGTTCCTACATGGACTTGACTACTGATTCAGTAAATAATTAGTAAATATTCAGTAAATAACTAGTAAAAAGAATGCCAAAAATAGTGCAGATGTAGTTCATGGCCCCTGTCCTCACAGAGCATAAATTCTAACAGTGGATAGAGATAAGTAGGCTGGGAATCACAATTAAATGGAAAAATAAAAAAAAAGGCTGGATGTGGTGGCTCAGGCCTGTAATCCAATAGCAGCAATTTGGGAGACCAAGATGGGTGGATCACCTGAGGTCAGGAGTTCGAGATCAGCCTGGCCAACATGGTGAATCCCCATCTCTACTAAAAATACAAAAATTAGCCAGGCGTGGTTGTGTGCACCTGTAGTCCTAGCTACTCAGAAGGCTGAGGCAGGAGAATCGCTTGAATCCGGGAGGCAGAGATTGCAGTGAGCCAAGATAGCACCACTGCACTTCAGCCTGGGTGACAGAGTGAGACTCTGTCTCACAAAAATATATAAATACATAAATAAATAAATGGAAAAAAAATGCTACTCTAAGGAGATACAAGGTGCCCTAGGAGCATATATCTCTGATGCTGTCTCCTCTGGAAGAATCAGAGAGGATTCCCTTAAGAAAATACCATCTAATCTGATACTTGAAGGATAGACAGATAGACAGATAGACAGAGAACAGTTCAAAAACCAGAAGAAATTAGAAGCGGGGGTGCTGAAACTATACAGATCCCTAAGTAGAGACTTGATTCCCTGAGAAAGGTGCCATCTAATCTGAGACTTGAAGGTTAGACAGACAGCAGTAGGAAAACAAGAATGAATGAGAAGGTAGGGGCTGGAAATACAGAGACCCCTAAATAGAATCTTTCCAGAAATTAAATGAAGGCAGAACGTTTTGAATGTAATGAGCAAGGTGGGAACAGTATCAGAAAATGAGTGAATGAGAAGGCCTAGATTAGAATAGGCTGAAAGTTTTCATGGTCAAATCTAGATATTGGAACACTCTTCGTTGCAAAGAGTAGAATAGAGGGACGGAGAGTAGATTGATAAAGTTCTTATGAATTTATTTCTTAAGAAAGAAAGGATGTTGGCCCGAATAGAAGTAATGAACAATTAGAATTGAGAGAAGTGGTCAGATTCTGAAAATGTTTAGCAAATAAAATCGATGCAATGTGAATTAAGAAGGGAAATAAGACATAGAGAAGGCCAAAGAGGTTGAATATCACCAGGTATTGCTGCTCTTTTGTACTTGGAGTATAGGTATTATTTACTAGTATATGGAAAAGAGAATGAAGGATGGAAATGAAAAAATGAACAGTTCATCTTTGTAAGTTGAGTTAAATGAGGTTGTGAGATGTAGTTGAGATATCTCATTGTCTATTGAATGTATAGGTTTCAATACCGACATCCACATCTGGGCTGAATCCATAAATTTGAGAATGATTTATTTATTCTTTTAAGCATATAATGGATGCCATCAGAATGTGTAGATTATACCTCAGGCCATACTTTTAATTTACTTATTTATTTATTTGACAAATAAACATTGTACATATTTTCTATGTACAACCTTCTGCTTTTATGAGTTTAACCTGTTTAGAGTCTATGTATAAGTGAGATAATGTGATATTTTGTGTTTTGGTGCCTGGCCTGGCTTATTTTACTTAATATAATGTTCTTCATGTTCATCAATATTGTCAGAAACGATAGGATTTACTTCCATTTAAAAGCTGAATAGTGTTGCATTTTGTATATAATCCACATTTTCTTCATCTATTAATCTGTCCACAGACATTTAGGTTGATTTTATATCTTGGCTATTGTGAATAATGCTGCAATGGAAATAGAAGTTCAGATATCTCCTCGAGACACTGATTTTCCAATTTTTGATATATACTTAATAGTGGGATTGCTTGATCATATCTTTAGCTCTATTTTTAACTTTCAGAGGTGTCTCCATATAGGTTTCCATAAAGACCATGCTAATTTACTCTTTTTTTTTTTTTTTTTTTTTTTTTTTGAGACAGAGTCTCACTCTGTTGCCTAGGCTGGAGGGCAGTCATGGAATCTAGGCTCACTGCAACCTCCGCCTCTAGGGTTCCAGCAATTCTACTGCCTCTGCCTCATGAGTAGCTAAGATTACAGGCGCCCACCACCACGCTCGGCTAATTTTTGTATTTTTACTAGAAGCAGGGTTTTACCATGTTGTCCAGCCTGGTCTAGAACTACTGACCTCAGGTGATCTGCCCGCCTTAACCTCACAAAGTGCTGGGATTACAGTCGTGAGCCACTGCGCAGGGCCTAATTTACGTTTTACCAACAGTGTACAAGAGTTTCTTTTTTTCTACATCCTCTCCACCATTTGTTATCTTTTGTCTTTTTGGTAATAGCCATTCCAACAGGTGCAAAGTGATATTTCATTGTGACTTCAATTTCCCTGGTGGCTAGAGAGGTTGATCATTTTTCATATACATATTCTCTGTATGTCTTCTTTTGAAAAGTGTTTATTCTGGTCCTTTGCTTATTTCTAAATCAGTTTATTTTCTTTCTATTGAATTGTTTGTGTTCTTTGTATTTTGCATATTAATTCTTTATCAGATGTATGGTTTGCAAATCTTCTCTACCATACTGTTGATTATCTCTTTAATCTTTTGATTGTTTCTTTGACTGTGTAAAAGCTTTTTAGTTTGATGTAATTTCATTTGCATATTTTAGCTTTTGTTTCCTGTCCTTTTCTGTCATATCCAAAAATCACTGTCTAGACCAATGTTATGAAGCTGTTCCCCTCTGTTTTCTTCTAGTAGTTTCACAGTTTTGGTTCTTACATTTACATATTTAACTCATTTTGAGTTTATTTTTGTATATGTTTAGAGATTTTTATTCTTCTGCATGTGGTTTTACAATTTTCCCAATATCATTTATTGAAGAATTTGTTCTTTCCCAGTTGTGTGTTCATGAAACCTTTGTTGAAAAGTCAAATTAATGTAAATAATTGGGTTTATTTCTGGGTTTTCTGTCCTGTTCATTTGCTCTCTGTTTCTATTTTTATGCAACTATTGTGCTATTTTGATGACTGTAGTACTTTGTAGTCTATTTTGAACTCAGATAGTGCGATGCCTGCAGCTTTGTTCCCTTTACTCAAAATTGCTTTGCCTATTCAGGGTTTGTTTTTTTGTGTGTGATTCCATATAAATTTTAGGATTTGTTTCTATTTTTGTAAAAGCTGCCATTAGAATTTTGATAGGAATTGCATTGTATCTTTAGATTTCTTTGGGTATTAGGGACATTTTAATAATAGTAATTTTCCAGTCCATCAACTCAAAATACATTTCTACTTATTTTTGTCTTCTTCAGTTTTCCCTATCAATATTTTATAGTTTTGAGATTTGTTATTATTGCTGTTATTTTTGAGACAGGATCTCATTCTGTAGCCAAGACTGGAGTATAGTGTCACAATTATAGCTCACTATAATCTCAAATTCCTGGGCTTAAGCAATCCTCCTACCTCAGACTTCCAAGAAGCAAGGACTATAGACACATGCTACTATGGCCAGCCAACTTTTTAAATTTCTTGTAGAGACATAGTCTCACCATGTTGATCGGGTTGAAGTTTTATACTTTTACGTGTACTTGTTTTTTACCTACTCGGTTAAATTGATTTCTAAGTATTTTTGCAGCAATTTTAAATGGAAATTTATTTATTTTTTAAAGATGGTTTATTGTTATACAGAAACACTACAGATTTTTGTATGTTGATTTTTTTTATCCTGCAATTTTCTTGAATCTGTTTATTTGTTCTAAAAGATTTTTGGTGGATCCTTTAGGGTTTTCCGTATATAAGACCATTTCATCTTTAAACAGGCACAATTAAACTTCTTCCTTTCCAATTTTGATGCCTTTTATTTCTTTTTGTTGGCGAATTGCTCTGGTCAGAACTACGTTGAATGGAAGTGGTAAATGTGAATATCTTTGTCTTCTTCCTGATCTTAGAGAAAGGGTTTTCAACTTTTCACCATTGAGTATGATGTTAGCTGTGTGTTTGTCATATGTGACTTTTTTTGTTAAAAACTCTTCAATTTTATTGCTTATTATATTTCTTCACATATCATTTATTCAGTCAACACTATATTAGTTTACTGAGCACACAAATAAATAAAACAGAAGCCCAGAACTCAGGTAGTTTGGATATCCCACACACTAATCTGTGTACTGTTTGCAAATCACACTGTGTTGCAACATCTGTACCTGATGTTGCAAGACTAACATTTTTGCTACCTCTTCTCAGAAGCCTTTGTGATCTCACCTGTTGGAATGCACTAATGTTTTCTGAGCCCCTTAAATATCTTGTCTACATTCTTTTAAGAAGCTCTTCACCAACTGTCAGGTAATGTAGTTTGATGAATTAAGAATGGGGGCTCTGGATTCTGAACCCCTAGATTTCAATTCTTGTTCCCAGTTACTATATACTCGGTGTTCTTTTACATTATTTGAGTCAATTACTTATTATCTTCCATTTTCCATATAAGAGAGGTTAATATATGTTTTATATGGAATTTTTGTGAAATTTCAGTAATGCACTTGGCATGATGAGGGCTCAATGAATATTAACTATTTTAACTGAACCATATCATGATTAACTATATAGACTATGGTGAAAAAAACAAGATTTGAATCCTAATTCATGTGATGTGACATAAGTTATTATTTAAATGGTGAATATAAAATAGGGAATATAATAACTACCCCACTGGCTTATTGTGAGGGTCCAGTATATTAACATTTGTAAAACCTTTGGTACAGTGATATGTAAATGATAATGATGATTATAATAATGATTTAAATTGTTTTATATGCATTCATTTTTTATTTATAATAAGTACATGGGAGATATTACCCTTTACTAAGTTAATTTATATTATGTAACTTTTTTCCTGGTTTGTAATGTCTAATGTTTTTCTCATAATAGCTGCCCAATAAGCACGTATGAAAATATTAATTCAAGATAACCCAGACAATGAGGCTGGTGCTTCTGTGCCAAAGCTTTTGTGCAATGTCCTGACATGATTTCTTTAGATGTCATTTTCTGTCAGCACTATCCTTACATCTACATGGATTGTATAATTATCTTTGTAGCATTGATTGAGAATTGATAAGATATCCAGCATTTCTGTGTACAATCTGCCGAAATCATATCTGTTGTATTGAAACAAAGGATGTATTACTTTGGTATCTATATTTCCTTATAAATATTCAAATTACTCTAAGGAGTAATACATTAACATGGTGTCAAATTAAACTAATCCACCACACTGGAAGATTAGGAATCAGGTTACTTTCAATTTTAAATTTTCATTGAGAACAAGATTTGAAAGAATTATAAATATGGATGCACTCATCCATTTATTCTTTAATTTATGTATTTAGCAAGCATATTAAGTACTTTTAAACATTTTGAATACAAAGATGTGGGTATAGGATGTAAGTTAAAAAAATGCAAATTCAAAGATATAGTTCTTTCACCAAGAAAACTAAATACAGAAAAGAGTAAAAATCATATAGGAAGTAAAAATCTAGTAGGAAGAATTTATATTCTAGACAAGAGCATTGACTTTCCCGGGAATATATATTTTAGGCAGATCATTATCACTATGGGCCGTGAACCAGTAAAAGAGAAAAATGAATACAGTGGATGACCAGGAAGTTTGCATTAGGTCCAATGCCACAGAAGGAAGTTGAGAAGCTAAAAGAAAAGAAAAGAAAAAAGAACAAAAAAGAAAATAAAAAGTATTTAGTGGCAATAAATTGTTAAACAACCTGGTAGGAATATGATGAATGACAGAACTCTATAGGTACAAGAAGACAGATGGTGAAGTAGGACATACTTTCAGAAGTATTTCACATTATAGAACTATATCTAAAGTGAGGGTGAAACTCTTTAAGCTGTGCCCATAGTTAAAGGAATCTTTCTATTTCTAACAGAAGGCAACCACAGAAAAAAGCCACTTAAGGTGTTGGAATCCCTGGGCAAAGATTTCCTCACTGGTGTTTTGGATAACTTGGTGGAACAAAATGTACTGAACTGGAAGGAAGAGGAAAAAAAGAAATATTACGATGCTAAAACTGAAGACAAAGTTCGGGTCATGGCAGACTCTATGCAAGAGAAGCAACGTATGGCAGGACAAATGCTTCTTCAAACCTTTTTTAACATAGACCAAATATCCCCCAATAAAAAAGGTAAGACTGGATTTTTTACAATGAATGTCTCAATTTTCCCTAAATCTGTTTAACTCCAAGGCCTAAGCAGTGTCTTCTGTGATTCCCCTATCTTTCCCTTCCTAAACTATCATTTTCACTAAACCTATCTTTGTCCTTTTAGAGACCACTTCCCTTTTGTGGGGTGGAATCCAGTTTACAATCAGCTAAAAGGCTGAGTCCTTGTGTTCAGACTGTGTACAAAAATAGTTAATAGTTCACACCTTGTAGTAAGGGACACATAGAACTAAACCTAGATTCTGTCACCTGTGACCTATGTGACATCCTGTAAGTTGCTTAACTTCCCTAGATCCTTAGTTATTAGTCTTACCATCTGTGAAATGAAGACAATTCCAGTACTTTCTCACAAGATCGTCTAAGCCTAGAAACATTATAATGACAGGCACCACACGCCAACAACTCTCAAGATATTAGCTCTCATCCGGAACTCTCTCCTCTGAACTCCAGGATCATTTAGCTCTAGCAACATATTCAACAGGTCTACTTGAGTGTTTTGCTGGCATCACAATACAAATACAGCTAAAATATACACTTTGTTCCCCAGAACAAAACTGTTGCATTTTTATTCCCTTTTCATCTCAGTAGACCGAAACAACATCTACCAAGTTTCTCCCACCAGAATGCAACTGGTTTCTTCACCAATTAATAACAGTAATCAGTAGTTTTCTTGGCACATAGCAGATGCCTAAATAATGTAGGATGAGTAAATAAATAAAGTATATGCATTCAATAAATACTAGTTTTCATAATTATTATGTGGATGCTATGAACTAGACTTTTCCAGTGCTTACTTACTTCTGCGAATTACAAAATATGATAAGGAGAATCTCCATAAAATGTCTAAAATTTTAAAACTTCTTTTTGGAACTTTTGACCCAGATTGAATTACGTATTATTAAAGGTTAAATATTCTCATATTGAAGTTCACCAGAGACAGACTCAATACCCCCCAGAATTTAAGCTGAAATCTTGAGCCATGAAGTATTACAGATTACCAATAATGATAAATAGTGATAAACAAAAGGAAATATAAATTGTTGAGACCTCACTATATCAAATGAGCTTTTTCAATCAGCACTCCTCTATGAAGAAGGGGTGTTCCTACCAACAGGGAGCACATGATAGTATGATAGTTGTCCAAGATTATAAGAAGGTAGCATTCTCATTAATATTTAAACTGGTCCCTTTGCAGGTTTTTAGTTTTTTCTCAAACCTGGATGGCATGGAAACAATCTCCATTTTCAAAAAGTCAGTGATAGTGCAACTAATGGGAATTAGAATAGAAGTAATAGAGGCTTCAGAATGGTTTTAGCAAACCCAGATATCACAATGAGCATTCAAGTCTAAACTGAAGTAATCTATCTGATTAGCAGAGGCTGTGGCAGGAATAAGGCAGCGGCAACCCCTCACAGGAGGGGTCTAGTGTCTCCCTGGGCTCTATCTGCAGTTGGAGTCTCCAGAGCAATCCCAGGAAACTTTAGGTACACTGCCAGTGTACCTAGAGTGTATCCAGCTCTCTTTGGGCAGCAGTCTGCAGTATAATATGTACTATCTTCTAATGAAATGATTTGCTTTCATGCTAATTTTATTATTGGATGTAAGATAGAAATTCTATCTAATTTCTAATTTTACCTGAAAACACTGTATCTCACACACACACATAATGATCATTAGGAGATGACTAAGTTATGAAGTTCTCTAAACCTGTAAGTGAAGTGGAAACAGGAAACTTTGGATTAGAAAACATACCCTCTGACCAGGGAATATCCAGGATCCAGCATGTCTTCACATTGGCAGAATTTTCTGAAATAGGACCGAAGGTCATATATCACTGTGTAATCTATGAAAAGAGATGCTCAGAAGGTTTGATATTCATACACACTCTTACAACTTGTTACATCTCCAGAGCTCAGACTGGCTGGCTTTACAAATAGCTGGCTTTACAATTTGCACAGGGATAATTGAAGTTCATTTCTTCTAGAATCATTAAAAATTAACAGTAAAGTTGCTAAAAAAATAATGCCTTGAAAGTACAAGATTCAATATTCTGTGCTTTGGTGTATGTATGTATTTATCTGTATGTGTAGTGGGGATTAGGAGGGGACGATTACTCCAAAATAGGATTTTGTTCCATCCTGTATGGGATAACTATTAAGCATTTGGCTTGTGGCTAAAAATACATGTTAAAATAATACTTTTTGTATGTTATGTTAAATAAATGTTATTAGAATTAATTTTACCTGTTTAATTTTACTTTTTACATGTGATAGTAGAAATTAAATATTGGACATGGAACACACATTAAATTTGTAGTAGATAGTGTTCTGACAACTATTTACTCAGTATACTCTTGCACAGACACAATAGAAAGTCCACACAGATAAATGAGTATCCTGGAGTAAAACCTTTGGAAAAATCAAATTCTTTTGACGGTATAAGGAAAGGCCAAATTTAACCCCAACATCATTGACATGTTTTCCCCAGAATGATCAGAATATATGATTACATGTTTGGGTGGATCTGCTTTTCTATCTTTTCCAGTAACAATACATCTCCTGATGTAGAATACTAGATATGAGATACAACTAAAACCCCTATATGTGAAGAAATCTTCCCAGGACGTCTTCTCTCTCGATCTTCTTAGGTGATAAATTGGGTCACAGAGGCAGAAATCACAATTTATGTTCTGCAATATCCTGCAGCTCATCCGAATATGGAGGCTGGACCACCTGAGTCAGGAGAATCTACAGATGCCCTCAAGCTTTGTCCTCATGAAGAATTCCTGAGACTATGTAAAGAAAGAGCTGAAGAGGTGCTATGCTATCTATATGAAATAGAAAAAAAAGAAGAGATATCATTGCTTTCCTTCAGTGCACCATTTCTTACAGCACTAAATGATTGGGGGTGGGGATGACAGTAACCATTTTCAATAATGCTTTTACTAAGGGAAAGATTATGTGACTTCACAATGATACCAATCCTTTCTCAATCCATGATGCAGATCATTTTATCATGAGTTGAAAGAAAATTGGTATTTCTATTGCTCCTGTATTTATTCTTGTAATTATTTGGATTTTATGGCAATTGTAGCATTAGCCATGGAATAAACATATTTGGAGGATAATATAGCTGACTTGTAATTGGTTGCACTCTACTTGAAAAGTCTAGACATGAAGGATACTTGGGAAATATAATTAAAGCTTGAAAAACATTATAAATTTATGTGTTAAAAATAGTAACAAAATAGCTATGCTTCCGAAGGCAAAGACTTTTGCTGTATTCATTTTTCACTGGAGTCAACGACAACATCTCGTTTTGTATGAAATTTGACCTGAACTTTGAATGCTAAGAAAGATTGGAGTAGGTGAAGAAGAAAAGGGAGAAGAAAAGGCATAGGAATTATCTAGTTTCCTCAAGATTCTTAATAACAATTTCAGATATGTCCGGTTCTTTCCCTGGGTTCTTGAGAGAGAGAAAGTCAGTGTCTTTTGATACAAGTTAGAGCAGAGAGGAGCTGCATGAAGACTTGAAAAAGCAACACTGATAGGCATAAGGAGGCTGAAAGGAGACTTGAGTAAATTAAATTTATTGCATCTCCATATCCTGCAGATCTATCCAATAAAGGAGAGAAACAACCGCACACGCCTGGCTCTCATCATATGCAATACAGAGTTTGACCATCTGCCTCCGAGGAATGGAGCTGACTTTGACATCACAGGGATGAAGGAGCTACTTGAGGGTCTGGACTATAGTGTAGATGTAGAAGAGAATCTGACAGCCAGGGTAAGAATCCCTCAGCCGCCACAAACACATACATATTCAAGACACATCCTTCTAATAACTACCTAGCTTCAAAGAGCTCAACAAGGTTTAACAACCTTTGGGTGTGTGTGTGTGTGTGTGTGTGTGTATACAAAATAAGAGTACTAGACTGGTAAATCTATGTCTCTTTGGTCCTCCAAATATCCTCAATTCTGGAAAACTAGACTAAACATGATTGACACGTGTTTTCACATTTCTTATTGAATTCCAAAATCATGTGATTGGGATGCAGCCCCGAAAATCCCCAGAAAATTGTAGAGTAATGAATGTTAAATGGCAGTATACTTATAAAACAAATATTGAATCCTAAACTTGGTGCTAAGAGCTATTCCTAACGTTGGGAATAGGTCTGTAAATGAGACAGGAAGTTCCCAGCCAGCATTCATCTAGGTTACAGTAGAGAGAAACAGTGAAATTGTAAGAAAAAAGACAACTTCAAGCACCAGGTGTGCATATGTGTGTCTACAAAACAGCGACAAGACAGCCAAAAGTAAGTAAAAAGAAAATAAAAAGGAAATATGAGACAGAATTGTAGGGTGGGGAGCAACGTTTTTGGGTTGGTTGGAGATGGCTCTGGAAAGACATGAATGCAGCGCCTTCAAAGTAGGAGACGCCACCTGTGAAAGAGCTGAGCTGAAAATGAACCTGGCACACGAGAAGCACAAAGAGAAGACCAGTGTGACTAGAGGTTGAAGGAGAAGGAACATAGTATGAGGGTGGTGTATGGTCAGGCCAGAAGTTTGATTCTATTCTAAGCATAGTGGGATGGATTTTACAAAGAACATGGTGTGTTGCATTTATAACACATGACTTGCTAGGTAAGGAGATAGAAGATTGAGATGGAAAAGAAAAAGTAACATGAGTAACACATAGCAATATACAATATACTAAGAAGACAGTATGTCAGCAGGAAGAGAAAATGGGAATCCACGGCCCCATAAAGAAGGAAAAATAAAACCATTAAACAGCTGTCATGACTGAGTAAGCACTAAGTGAAGCACCACGACCTGGATGTTACATATGTTTCTTGTTTCGCTCATGGTAAATCTAGGAGTCCCCTTTAATTGTGATGCTTCTCTGACTGAAGTTAGACATTGCTCTTTTACAGGATATGGAGTCAGCGCTGAGGGCATTTGCTACCAGACCAGAGCACAAGTCCTCTGACAGCACATTCTTGGTACTCATGTCTCATGGCATCCTGGAGGGAATCTGCGGAACTGTGCATGATGAGAAAAAACCAGATGTGCTGCTTTATGACACCATCTTCCAGATATTCAACAACCGCAACTGCCTCAGTCTGAAGGACAAACCCAAGGTCATCATTGTCCAGGCCTGCAGAGGTGGTGAGTGCTGAGACTGAACATCTAACAGTTATGAAGGTGTATGCAGAGGATTGTGATGTTTGGTTTATATTTAGGGGCAACATTCTTAAACCTCATCCAGTGTAAATAAAGTACATTGAATTCTAAAGAAACTCTACCTAAGGGTCTGGTATAACAAGAAATTGTCTCATCAAAATTAGTGGAGAAATTTCTGTTCAATTTTATCCACAGTAAGTGGTGAAGGAGATCATCAGAATCCCTAAATCAAAGTTAAACAGAAATACTCAAACTTTGGAATGGAATCATTTTCATGATAGCTTGATTTGTAAATGTTTTACAGAAATTTTGACATTGTGTGGTTTGAGAAGAATTTCATTTGAAACTGGGGCCATTATGTAAAACAGCATCCCTTTTTCTTATAATTATTGAGGGGGAAATTAGTAAAGAGATCAGGGGACTGTAGAATGTTGCAGTGCCACTTTGCTCCAAAGATTCAATTGCCTCATGGCTGGCTGAGGATGGTGGCTCATGCCTATAATCCCAACACTTTGGGAGGCCAAGACAGGAGGATGGCTTGAGGCCAGGAATTTGAGACCAATTGTCTGATAGCTCTTGGGAGCTATTTTTCAAAAGAAAACAGATTTTTTTTCTAGAAAATGGTAAATTCAAGATGATTTCACTATCAGTAGGCACATTGTTGAATGACACTGGAGAGAAAGAAAAGTGGTGTGTGTGTGTGTGTGTCTCTCTCTGTGTGTGTTTGTATGTGTGTGGGTCTGTATGTATGAAACTAGTAAGAATGAACATTCAAAAAGAACAAGGTGGGCAACTGTGACAGCCATTCTGTGGGAGGCACAGCAGTGTGCAGAAAGTTAATGTCTCCATAGCAAACCGTGGGGAACTGTGGGTCAGAGACTCTCCAGCATCCTTGGAAGTGGCCTCTTCACAGTCATCTGAGAACCTAGAGGAAGATGCTGTTTACAAGACCCACGTGGAGAAGGACTTCATTGCTTTCTGCTCTTCAACGCCACGTATGTATCTTTCAGTGGCAGTAAGGGATTTGTGGGCCTGAGGCCATCTTTGAATGAATCTAGAAAATCAAGAATCCCTATGAAACAATGATCTGATAGAATGTTGTGTGCTCTCCACATATTTTACATGATCTTATGTGTGCCGTGAGAACAGATTCCTAAAGCAACCCGATACATGGAAACCCATTCACCACTCACCATTTAAACAGATGATGAATTCTGTTTTTTTTATTAAGCCCATTTAACATTTTACATAGTGTTTTTATGGATTCCAGGAATGGCTTCTCTTTCTCAAATGATCAACTTCAAGTCTTCTTTCCATATTTCACATCTGATTCTACAATGAGCAGTGCCATTGCATGCCCTGCTAGAACTGTGGATACCCTTTAAAACAAGTAGAAAATGATAGGGTGGGGCTGATTAGGTCTAATCTCAGGGAACACTGGTTAGTATTTCATGTCTAGGTAATTATCTTAAGGAGCGTACATTTAACTGTTTTTGATTTGTATATTTTTAAATCTTATTTTTTAAAACCACTTTATTGAGGTATGATTGACATACATAATGTTACATATTTAATGTATACAACTTAATGAGTTTGGAGATTTCTATGTACTCCTGAAATCATCACCACTATCTATGCCATAAACATATCTCTCTTCTCCAAAAGATTCTTACACTTCTCTGTTTATTATTATCATCATTCCGTGACTGCGTGTGAGAAGTATACTTAGCATAAAATCTACTCTCTTAACAAATTTCAAGTACATAACACAATGTTGGTTACTACTGGCACCACCCTGTACAATAGATTTTTATCACTTTTTTCAGCTTCTATCACTGAAACTTGTCATGTGTTCATCTATTTCTATTATACGGTGAAAGACAGTGTGGCATAATCTGCAAACAACTTTGGAGCCTGGTGGCAATTTTTTGTTGCTTACTCACTGTGTGAACATGGGGAAGTTCCTTCATCTTTCTGTGCTTCTATTTCTTCCTCTGTAAAGTGGGATAATTCTAGTTATTTCTCAAGCCCCTATAAAAGCTGAGAGAATGAACATGAGTTTTGTAGTAGAAAGCCAATCCCAAGAATCAAAATTTCTTCAATACACAATCTCTTGCAATGCTTACCAACTGCAACTTTTGATCACCTTTTGCTAGGTTTTCTGTTTACGTTCTGTGGAAAGTAGGTAAATGTCAGGTTGTAAGTGCTTCCTACAAATCTGTAAAGATAATTCCCAAGCTATGCTTTTCTTTTTAAAAACATTCTCAAAACAAAAATATGAACAAAAACATAGTGAAAGTCATAGCCCAAGGCATACCCATCTGTATCATTATAGACAACGTGTCCTGGAGAGACAGCACAATGGGCTCTATCTTCATCACACAACTCATCACATGCTTCCAGAAATATTCTTGGTGCTGCCACCTAGAGGAAGTATTTCGGAAGGTAAGTGTCTCTTTTCTAGTTACTCATTTATTTCTTCAGGAAGAATTTGTCATGATTCACTTTTTACTTCACAATGACAATTTTTGTCAGGGAAGTGAAAGTAGAGAGGTACCCAGTTTCTGTCATTCAGTTGTTTAAAATATGGCTAAGGAAAAGACAATTCCAATATATCCCAGCAGAAGATCAAAGTAAAATAAAATAATATCAACCATAAGCTTTATGTTATGGAGCGTAAGTTCTTAAGTTTTAGAGAAGGAAAAATATTTTGAAATAATTTTTATTTCTTAATTTATTAAATGAATAAAATCTGGGTGGTCTGCTAGGTCATGGATTTCCTCCTGGTGACAGAGGGGTAAATGAGGCCTACATGACGTAATCCTATCTAGGACTCACATTTTCGTGGGAGATATGGATACTGAAAATGTGGGTTAACAAACAAATATGTGCTTACAGATTGTGATAGGATCCATAAAGACATGTGAGAGGGAACAAAAAAGAAGTCATTCTTTCAATAAAAAAGTGCAGAAGGAAAGGTTTGCTACTTCTTGCCCAACTTGGGACATTCCTTATTCCCACTACTTCCTATGTTATTTTTCTCCATAGCTCGTACATCTACCCACTCAGCAAATATTAATAGTTTATTTATGTGTCTGGTTTTTTACTTGTATTTACTCACTAACATGCAAACTTCGTGATGGCAGGGATTTGCTCAGCAATTCAACAAACCTGGCACGTAGCAGATATTCAATTAATAATTATTGAATAAATACATGCATAAATACACAGATAAATGCACCCTCTTGTTTAAAGAGAAAATGGGATTGGTATTAACACAGAATAGTATAATTATTAATAAAGTAAAAATTGTAGAGAACAGTAAAACTCCTGCGGGAAAAGAAAGATACACCTCTGGCGTTTATAGAAGAAAGCCATCCAGAACCAGCACAGTCACTCATTCCTGTAATCCCAGCACTCTGGGAGTCCGAAGGAGGGTGGAGTGGCTTGAACCCAGGAATTTGAGGCCAACCTGGGCAACATGGCAAAACCCATCTCTACAAAAAATACAAAAATTAGCCGGGCATATTGACTGGAACCTGTAATCCGAGCTACCTGAGAGCTGAGATGGGAGAATCGCTTGAGCTCAGGAAGCGGAGGTTGCAATGAGCTGAGATTTCACCACTACCCTCTAGCCTGGATGACAGAGTAAGACCCTGTCTTAAAAAAAGAAAAAGAAAGAAAAGTAGTGAAATAAGAAGAAGGAGGAGGAGAAGGAGGAGGAAATGCAGCATAAATTGAGACAGAGCTCCTGTGAATAGAGATCTGGGAAGTTAAATCTTTTAAATCTTCTTGGATAAGTGGGAGTTAGACATTGTACTTTCAAGGATGTTCATAGAAAAAGGAACTAAAAATTCTGGATTTAGGATAAGTAGACTTACCAATTAGTTGATGCAAAAAAACTACAAGATCAGCTTGGTGGTGGAGATATGAAAGTTGTTCAGTGTTTGGGTCTTAAAGATAAGATACTGGGGCTGGGCACGGTGGCTCACGCCTGTAATCCCAGCACTTTGGGAGGCAGAGGCAGGAGGATCATGAGGTCAGGAGTTTGAGACCAGCCTGGACAACATAGTGAAACCACGTCTCTACTAAAAATACAAAAAACCAATTAGCTAGGCGTGGTGGTGGGCACCTGTAACCTCAGCTACTTGGGAGGCTGAGGCAGGAGAATTGCTTGAACTCTGGAGGCGGAGGTTGCAGTGAGCCGAGGTTGCACCATTGCACTCCAGCCTAGGCAACAGTGCAAGACTCCATCTTAAAAAAAAAAAAAAAAAAGAAAGATAAGATACTGGGATTAAATTCTCCTTCAATTGAGGAATCAGCCTTGGTGAGTGTTGAAAGTACAGAGTCCTTCCTTATCTGGTTTTCATGAATAGTTTTCAAGGGATAACTTATTGTCAGATCTGTAGGTCAGAAATGGAAAATAGAGGAAATGAATGTTGAAAGACCTTGGATTAGACATGAGGTGTTTATTTTGATGTAAAGCATACAGTCTGACATGGAGTGGCAATTCTAAGAGGTAGGGTACAATGTTGAGGAGTTAGAATGCCCATGGGCTTGGTTCTATGAAACCTGCAAGCTCACTTCATTCCAGGTGTTGTCTGGTACATGGTGAAAGATGCTTTCTGAGACTTGAAAAGAGTCGTATCTCATCTACAGCCTATTTTCTTTTTCAGGTACAGCAATCATTTGAAACTCCAAGGGCCAAAGCTCAAATGCCCACCATAGAACGACTGTCCATGACAAGATATTTCTACCTCTTTCCTGGCAATTGAAAATGGTTAAGTATTGAGAGTTGTTGGTGGTATGTGAAATAAATAAGAGAGTGATATTGGTGGTTAAGTTCAATGACAAATGACAGCTGAGTACTTGGATGGTCAAATTGGTGTTTTTGTTGATATAGTCTGGTGATTATCTGCTACTTCTTTCCGACTTACATGTATTTGGATTCCTCCAACTCTACAATTAATCAGGCAATCAATCAATCAATCAAGGAGGTAAGGAAAACCGCAGCAGAATGTGATGATGAAAAACCAAGGATAGTAATTATTAAAATAGAAACATGCTCATGCTTCCATTACTATTTATATTCATTTATCTCTCATAGTCTTTCTCTTTTATTCCCCTTTCTTACACACACACACACACACACACACACAGAGAGAGAGAGAGAGAGAGAGAGACACTAAGTAGCCAAACATTGCATCAAACCCTAAACAAAACAGAGTAAACAAAGGAGCTAACTCTGGAGAAAGCAGCATTTTGATCCTCTGAGTGAGGATGTCACAGCAAATACCACATTACTGACATCCAGATACCATTACCAGATGGTACAGAATACATCCTACACTGTAGAGTTTGTGTTGATCCAGGCTCTGGTTCTCAGACTGTTCTCACAATGCAGATCACCAATCACTCAGGGTTGGCTTTTGAATCTTCAATCACAGTCCAGAAGTTCCTTCAAGCTCCCATGTAACTTTTGTTATTATTTTGACCAAAATATTATAGAATGGGTACATTGAGTCTGGACTAAATGATGACTTTCTTCACTCATAATAGCTTTATTTAACACTAGACTATAAGACTATTATCAATCTCCCTCTAAGATACATACTTAAAATTATATTTTATAGTGAAATGTATAAAGTTGTTCTCAATACTTCCAACATTTACCACATAATTTTTACTCTTGGTTTCTGACACTTCAGTCACAATATTGCATCATTTCAGCATAACAGCTTTCAGTGCCTAATCCATCCAGTGGGGCTGCATTTGGACATTGAATTGTTTGTTGACTAATATTTGCCAACACTAACTGTGCACCAGGTTTTGTTCTAGATGCTTGGAATATGCCAATTAACAACGTAAATAGATTTCTTACACTCTGAAAGCTTATATTCTAGTGAGTAGAAACAGACTCTGAAGACATAAAGTGGTAAATATATCACAGGCCGGAGAGCAAAAAAAGATAAAAGGAAAAATAAAGGAAGACAAAGGAAAACACAGAATGATGGATGCTGTACTCCTATAGATATTTCACTCAAAAGCTTTTCTTGAAATAATGAAATCAGAACAAAGAATGGACAGAGTTGGGGAGTGAATAATGTGGTTCTTATGCAGGAAAAGTGTTCCAGCACAGAATACAGCCAGTGCAAATGCCCTGGGATAGCAATGCACTAAACATGTTTAAAGAACTGCAATGAGACAGTGTGACCAAAAGAGAACGTGAGTGGAGAAAATGGCAGAGACAAATTAGGAGAAGCAGTGAGAAGCCAGATCGCGTGGTTCTATGTTATCACATGGTAAACCTTTAAAAATTATTATCTGAGCGAGACAGGAAGCCTTTCTAGTGCTTTAGAAAAAAGAAGTAATATGCTTTAAATTAGGTTTTACAAAGATCACATTTTGGTGAATAGACTAAGATGTCACAGATGGAAGTCAAGGGAAGTGGCAAGAGCACATGGAAGAGGATGCAAGAAGAATCATGATGAGGGATGGGATGAAGGCAGCAAGGGGTAACCATCTTGACCTTCTGTTTTTTCTCTCCCCTGCAGGAAGCCACAAGCAGCCCAGCCCTCCTTAATCAACTTCAAGGAGCACCTTCATTAGTACAGCTTGCATATTTAACATTTTGTATTTCAATAAAAGTGAAGACAAACGAACTGTGTCTTTTTCTAATAGAGAATATAATCTCAATGAAAATGGTGGGTGAGTGGAAATGAAGTGGAGGAAGCTAACTGGATTTTCGAGCTTTATGGCTCATGAAATATCTATACTTGGCTGATGAAGAAAACTGACTGATTTATCCCCAACAATAGGATGAAAGATGTTGCCGAAAACTATAGTGAGATACTGCCTCATACCCATTTGAATGACTCCCATCAAAAAAAGCCCCAAAAAACAGAAAATAACAAGGGTTTGAAGGGATGTAGAATAATTGGAATCCTGTGCTCTATTGGTGAGAATTTCAAATGGTACAGCCACCTTGGAAAACAGTATGGTATTGCCTCATAAAATTAGAAGTAGACTTACCATATGCTCCAGAAACTCCACCTATGGGTACATAACTAAAGTAATTGAAAGCAGGGTCTCAAAGATATATTTATACACCCACATTTATAGCAGCATTGTTCACAATATCTAAAATGTGGAACTATCTGATAACTGATAAATGGATAAGCAAAATGTGGTGTATACACATAATGGAATTTTATTCAGCCTTTAACGAGAAGGAAGTTCTGACATTTGTTACAATATGGATGAACCTTGACATTATGCTATGTGAAATAAGGCAGCAATAGAAAAACACATACTGCATGATTTCACTTACATGAGGTACCTAGGGTATAAAATTCATAGAGACAGAATGTAGAATGGTGATGGCCAGGGACTGTGGGGAGGAGGAAATGGGGAGTTATTAGTTAATGATATAGAATTTGAGCTTTGCCAGACAAAGAGGAATTCTGAAGGTAAATGGGGGTGACACTTATATGACTTTATGAATGGATTTAGTATCAAACACTACATTTAAAAATGTTAAGATGGTCAATTTTGTGGTATGTATTTTTACCACAATAAGACATTGGGGACAAAAGGGATAACTGGAGGTGAGAAAAGATGGAGTAAATTGCACCCGGGAAACTCTGATCAACTTACACAGAAGAGAATTAAGCTACTGTGCAAAACTGATGAAAGAAGAAATGAGAGTAAAGTATATTACTTATTATTTCAAAATGAATCAAGGAAATAATCGGAAATCTCACCACCATCAAATATTATGTAGAACAAGAGAGAGATCTGGCAGTGTGAATGAGCTATATTTCATTTTTCATATAAGACAGTTAACCACTTTTCTACTGTGATAAATCTTAGCAAAACTAGGGGTCCAAGCATATACGTCTTTTTCTCCCCCATATGGTTCATCAAACTGAGTTAGGCAACTTTACTTTCACACACCTGTGATGCCTCAGGAGCCACCTTGACATACACATGTCAAGAAAATTATTAATTCTATATCTGATGATGTCTTGATTCCACTTTCACCATACAAAGCAGAGACCAAAGGTGTCACTCACAGATACTCATCTATTCTGCCTTAGTTGTTAAATAACTGTCTAGTCATTCATGTGAAGACCCTCTTGTTTCCCAAGTGATGTGCATGGTTTCAGGTGACTTACATCTTTAACAGGACTTATTATCAATCAGTCAAGCATGTGGAAAAAAAATTCAGTAAAGAGTATCCAACACATTGGGGTAAAGTTCTCCAGAGAAGGTGAGGCTTTTTCAATGTCCATCTTTCTTTAGGTTCACTATTTGGAAGTTACCTTAACACAGAAGACTCTCAAGCAGTGTATTCTCCCTTCCTAGGTAACAGTGCTTCTAAAAAAATAGCATTGTTTGAATCCCATCTTCCTTGGTATTAATTACATAGGATAAACCCAGGGTGGGAGGGCTATGGGTAATTCTCATAGATTATTAAATCTATGAGAGTATATATAATAGAGTAACCTATGAGTGTATATATAATATATATACACTGAATTAGTAATCATTGAATTCCTCTATAGTACAAAATATTTTCCTTAAACTGTGAGCAATAATAGAGAATTCAGTGGAAAATGATCTATGCTGGAGTACATTAGAATTTGACTCCACATAGAAAAGGTCTGCAATGTTGGGATCATTCAGCAGTCCAATTTGCCCAGACATCAAGTATTTATAGAATAGTGGAAGCAGAGGGCAGAGAAGCAGAAAAACAAGCAAGGCACATTTGGGTCCTACCTTAAAGTGGGTTTTACCTAGAAGTATGAAGTACATAAAACAGAATATATCTGAATAATTGTAAATGTAAGCTTTGGTGTAAGATCCTTGCTTTTATAGACTGACACAGCCACTTAGTACTTGGTAAATTAATTTCATTTATTTAGCTTCTCTGGGCTTTCTTTGAGTTCCTTACTAATAGATGTGAATATAAATATCATTGTTCTAAGGATGTAATGAGTTAATATAGGCAAAATATTTAGCATAGTCCAGAATAAAGAAGGTGTTAAACAACTGCTATCATTAAAGATATTTCTACTTTGTAACTTAACTCAGTTAACTTCCTTATCAAGGTTTAAATAAAAGTCATTTGAATCTTTTCATTCACCATGTTTGGCAGTTTCCTGGGACTTGCATTCTCTTGGTCACCTATGGCCTGAAGGTCTTGGCTCTGCTCATATAGTTAAATTACATATTGTCTATAATGAGATGCCCTCCCTCAGGAGACAGACTGGTTCCACATTGTGCTGACCATATCCTAAGGTAGAATTAACTTTTTCCATGATCAAAAACGATGATACCACACAAAAGACCCAAACATTTCTAGCTTCAGTGTAATTAGTAGACTTTAATATTAGATGGAATTGTTCTTTAAAATCATTTGATCCCAGCCTTCTGCATGACTTTTGCCTCTGTCTTTGCAGCCCTTTGTCGGTCCACTGTTTTCTCAACATCAGTCTTGCTGGTTTCTGTCTCTTTCTTTTCTTTCACTACTTTTTACTCCTCCTTTCCAGATGACTATCAGAAACTCCAATTTAGTTATCTATGACTCCAATATTACACCTAGCTCCACATTCCACTGTGTAAATTCCAATCATATCATGGTGCTCTCCTGAAGAAAAATAACCATCTACTTCCTTAATTTCACAAAATATTTGCAGAGACACCTGTCTCCATCTCATCTCTTACCTACTTTATTTAACTGGAACAAGACTTAGTTAAAAACCTTCCTTTAATTGTGATAGACATGGTTCTATATAGAATTTTAATTTATTATTCAATATATTTTATTACCATTACCATTGACTAAAAGATTGGATTAAAGAAAGTGTCCATGGTTATATACAGAGCTATTTCCATTATTTTTCCCTCACACCTTCCTTTGTATAATATTTATATGTCTTCATTACTTCTGTGTCAACTATGTAATAAATTAATTCTTCTTCAATATTTCTGTTGTCCATAAGAACTTTTTTCCTCCAATATTATGTATTTCTTCCGTAATCAACCCTTTCTAGATTTTCACTTTTGTTCTGTTGTACCATTTTTGTATTTAGTTAAAATTTTGTGTAAATATTTTTGGTGAATATTGTTTAATTCTAATTAAAATTATTTTTGAAGTTGATAAATTGAGAAGCTATTAATAGAATTATACTGTAGAGATTGAGTATTACATATCCTATATTATTCCATACACTTGTGATGCTTCAGATATCTTTTGTGTATGAATTATTATCCTCCCCTTTATAGATGAGGCAATTGCATTTCAGAGCTCATGATTAACTTAAATCAGTTAGTAAATATCACTCTTGAAATGCACATATAGGTATGTCTTTTCCATGGACCAGTCACTTTCCTCTGCCCCATTTTACCTTTCTCTTACTCTCTACTAAATTGATGACTTCTTGAACTCAGGGAATACGCTGCTCTAATATCTGCACCACATACAGCACACTTGTCAAATATCAGTAACAATATACTCACTGAATTTTGAATATATTCACTAGAAATATAATCCAGTGTATAGAAAACAAAGTGAATTCCATTGCATGCCTTAGCTGACTTAGAAAAAAAACAATATTTCTTCTTTTTCTTCAGGCAAGAGCCAGTCTTGGGATTTGTGAGGTGGTTTATTCACAGATGTTTCTTGCCAACATTTCACAAGTGGCTTTTTACTCTGACACTTATCAAACATTGGCAAGAATATCCCTTATCCAGTGAAAAGGAGGATATTTTCTGAAAGGTGGGCTAAAGATGCTTCTACCACTTGACTACCCTGGATGCTAGACTATTGCAGTTGGAAACATAGAAAGCAGATCTGGCCTGCCCTGAAGAGATGGAATGAATGGACTCGAATTTACCTGTATCCTTCATGGCTATCAGATCCAGAGCAGATTTTAAAAACCCCGGGGAGGGTCATTCAATGCTTAGATATGCATGTTGCTATGCTTGTTGCAGGTGAAAGTACTTTTTTATTTTTGTTATTCATTTCGCTGTATTTGTCGCAGTTTTTCTGGCTAAAGATTCTACATCAGAGCAAAGGTCTACAGACTTTCTCTTTTTAGGTCTGATTTTCATTTGAGCTTCCAGATTATAGGGCACAGATGCTCATCACTGAGTGACATTGACAAGATGTTTTTATCTCTTCCTAGGACATTAAAAGAAGTAGGCTGTATGAATGCCTGTGGGCCGATGTGTATGTGTGTTGCGGGGTTGAAGAGGTTGGAGAGGAGTACTGAAACTCCATTCTGGTCAAGGTATCTAGCCCTAAATGTGGTTATTCCTCATCCAAAAATTCAAAATCCAAAATTCTCCCAAACCTAAATTTTTTCCCATTACCTCCCACATTTTTAAATTGAAAAGTTACATTAAGAGGTACATGTGCACTTTTGTGACCTAAGAATATTGCATGATGCTGGGGTTTTGGTGACAATTGGTCCTGTCATCCAAGTCGTGAGCATAGTACACAATAGGTAGTTTTTCAACCCTTGTCTTTCTATCTCCTTCCTTCCTCTAGTAGAACCCAGTGTCCATTGTTTCCCATCTTTCTATCCACGTGTACCTAGCGTTTAGCTCCCACTTATAAATGAGAATACACAGTATTTGGTTTTCTGTTTCTGAGTAAATTTGCTTAGGATAATGTCCTCCAGAAGCATTCATGCCACTCCAAAGGATATGATTTCGTTCTTTTTATAACTGTGTAGTATTCCATGTCGTATATGCACCACATTTTCTTATCCAATCCACCCTTAATGACACCTAGATTGATTCACTGTCTTTGCTATTATGAATAGTGCTGTGATGAATATATGAGTGCATGTGTCTTTTTGAAAGAATGAGTTATTTTCTTTTGGATATATGTTCCATAAGAGGATTCCTAGATTAAATGATAGTCCAGTTTGTTTTTTCTCTCTTTCTTTAATTTTCAATTTTAGGTATATATTTATGTGTATACACATAACATATTTATGGGTTACATGAGATATGTTGATACAGGCATGCAATACATAATAATTACATTGTGAAAAGTGAGGCATCCATACCTCAAGTATTTCTCTTTTGTATTACAAATAATTCAGTTATGCTCTTTTAGTTATTTTTAAATGTACAATTAAATTATTATTGACTTTAGTCACCCTGTTTTGCTAGAAAATACTAGGTCTTAATCCTTCTTTTTAACAGTTTTTGGGGGAAATAACCCTCCCCAATTTCCCTGCACCCCACAGTATGCTTCCTAGCCTCTGGTAACCATTCTTCTTCTCTATATTTCACTGAGTTCAATTATTTTAATTTTCAGTTCCTACAAATAAGTGAGAACACGTGATCTTAGTCCTTCGGTGCCTCACATATTTTACTTAACCTAATGACTTCTAGTTCTATCCATGTTGTTGCCAATGACTGAATCTCATTTTTTTTATGGCTGAATAGTATTCCACTATGAATAAGTACCACATTTTCTTTATTCATTTATCTGTTCATGAACACTTAGTTGGCTTCCAAATCTTGGCTATTGTGAATAGTGCTGCAATATTCATAGGAATGCAGATATCTCTTTGATATACTGATTTCCTTTCTTTTGAGTGTATGCCCAGCAGTGGAATTGCTAGATCACATGGCAGCTTATTTTTAGTTTTCTAAAGAACCTCTAAACTGTTCTTTATAGTGGTTGTACTAACTTACATTATCCCCAACAGTGTATGAGGGTTCCCTTTTTCCACATCCTCGCTAGCACTTGTATTCCCTATCAGATAAAAGCCATTTTAGCTAGCATGAGATAATACCTTATTGTAGTTTTGATTTGCATTTCTCTAATGTTGTGCGCCTTTTCATGTACCTGTTTGCCATTTGTATGTCTTCTTTTAAGAAATGGCTATTCAGAACTTTTGCCCATTTTTAAATCAGATTATTAAAATTTTCTCCTATAGAGTTGTTTTAGCTCCTTATATATTCTGGTTTTTAATCCCTTGTCAGATGAATAGTTTGCAAATTTTTTGCCCATTCTGTGGGTTTTGTCTTTACATTGTTGATTGTTTCCTTTGCTGTGCAGAAGGTATTTAACTTGATATAATTCCATTTGTCCATTTTTGCTTTGGTTGTCTATGCTTCCGTAGTGTTACTCAAAAAATCTTTGCCCAGTCCAAAGGACTGGGGAGTTTCTCCATTTTTTGTTATAGTTCCATAGTTTGAGGTGTTTAAGTCTCTGATTCATTTTGATTTGATTTTTGTATATGGCAAGAGTTGGGGGTCTAGGTTCATTCTTTTTCACATGGATATCTAGTTTCATTTTTCAGCACCATTTATTGAGGAGACTGTCCTCTCACCAACGTATGAATATTCTTGGCACCATTGTCAAAAATGAGTTCACTGTGGATGTATGAATTTATCTCTGAGTTTTGTAATCTGTTCCATTTATTTACATGTCGGTTTTTATGCCAGTACTACGACATTTTGATAACTACAGTGTAATTTAAAGTCAGGTATTGTGATTCCTACAGTTTTGTTATTTTTGCTCAAGATAGCTTTGGCTATTTCAGGTCTTTTGTGGTTTCATACACATTTTAGAATTTTTTTTTGATTCTGTGAAGAATGTCAATGGTATCTTGATAAGGACTGCATTGAATCTGGAGATTGCTTTGGGTAGTACGAACATATTAAAAATATTGATTCTTCCAACCCACGAACAAGGAATTTTTACATTTTTTTCACATCCTCTTTAATTTATTGCATTGATGTTTTATAGTTTTCATTGTGAGGGTCTTCTACTTCTTTGGTTAACGTAATTCCTAGGTATTTAATTTTATTTGTAGCTATTGTAAATGAAATTTTTAAATTTCTTTTTCATATTGTTTACCATTGGCAGATAGAAATGCTACCAATTTTTGTAGATTGATTTTTGTATCCTGCAATCTTACTGAATTTGTCTATCAGCTATTATAGTTTTTTGGTGGAGTCTTCAGGTTTTTCCAAATATAAGAACACATAATATGCAAACAAGGATAATTTGAGTTTTTCCTCTCCCATCTGGATGCCCTTTATTTCTTTATCTTGTCTAATTGCTCTTCCTAGAACTTCCAACGCTATGTTGAATAACAGTGTTGAAAGTGGGCATCCTTGCCATGTTTCTGATCTTAGAGGAGAGGTTTTCAGTTTTTCCAGACTCAGTATAATACTATGTGTGGGTCTGTTGTATATGGTTTTTATTATGCTGAAGTGTTTCTTCTTTACCTGTTTTTTTTGAGAATTTTCATGATGACGGCATTTTTAATCTTGTCAATTGATTTTTCAGAATCAGTTGAAATGATTATATGTTTTTCGTTCTTTCTTCTGTTGATACAGTGTGTTACATTACATTGATTTGCATATGTTGAAGCATTTTTGCATCCCTAGGATAAATCTGACTTGGTCATGATGAACAATTTTTTAATGTGTTGTTGAATTTTGTTTGCTAGTATTTGCATCAATATTCATCAATCATATTGGCCAATAGTTTTCTTTCTTTTTTTTAATGTATCTTGGTTTGGTTTTGGTATCAGAGTAATGCTGTACTTGTAGAGTGAGTTTGGAAGTATTTTTGGCTTCCCTGGCAGTTCTGTTTTAAGTTCTTTTTTTTTTTTTTTCAAGCTATTTTAAGTTCTGGGGTACATGTGCAGGATGTTCACATTTGTTACAAAGGAAATGGTGGTTTCCTGCTGAGATCAACCCATCACATAGGTATTAAGCCCAGCATCCACTAGCTATTCTTCCTGATGCTATCCCTTCCCCTGAGCCCCTCACAAGCCCCAATGTGTCTTGTTTCCCTCCCTGTTGTCCATGTGTTCTTATTGTTCAGATCCCACTTACAAGTGAGAACATACCGTTTTTGGTTGGTTGTTCCTGCATTAGTTTGCTGAGGATAATGACTTCCAGCTCCACCCACGTCCATGTCCCTGCAAAGAACATGATCTCATTCCTGTTTAGGGCTGAAAGTATTCCATGGTGTATATGTACCACCTTTTCTTTATCCATTCTATTATTGATGGGCATTTGGGTTGATTCCATGTCTTTGCTAGTGTGAATAGTGCTGCAATGAACATATGCTTGCATGTATCTTTATAATAGAATGATTTATATTTCTTTGGATATAAAAATCTCCAAACTACTTTCCACATTAGCTGAATTAATTTATGTTCCCACCAACAATGTATAGGCATTCCTTATTTATTTATTTATTTATTTATTTATTTATTTATTTATTTATTTTTGAGATGGAGTCTTACTCTCTCACACAGGCTGGAATGCAGTGGCGCAATCTCGGCTCACTGCAACCTCCATCTCCCAGGTTCAAGTGATTATCCTGCCTCAGCCTCCTGGGTAGCTGGGTCTACAGGCATGTGTCACCACACCCGGCTAAATTTTGTATTTTTAGTAGAGATGGGGTTTCACCATGTTGGCCAGGCTGGTCTTGCACTCCTGACCTCAAGTGATCCACCTGCCTCAGCCTCTCAAAGTGCTGGGATTACAGGCATGAGCCATCGTGCTGGACAGCATTCCTTTTTCTTCACAGCCTTGCCACCATTCATTATGTTTTGACTTTTATTTTCACAAAAATTATAAGAGGAGAAAACACTTCTCAATTTACTTTATGAGACTAATATTATCTTGGTATCAGAACCAGATGAAAATACCACATGTAAAGAATAGTATGGATGATTACTGGGTATATATACCCAAAGGAATATAAATCATTCTATTATAAAGATACATTACATGCATGCTACCAAATTTTGTATACTGGAGGATAGTTTGACTTCTTCTTTTCCTATTTGGATGCCTTTTATTTTCTTCTGTTGCCTGATCACTCTGGCTAGGACTTCCAGTTCTATGTGGAATAGCTGTAGTGAGAGAAGGCATCCTTGTCTTGTGCTGGTTTTCAGAAGGAATGCTTCCACCTTTTCCCCATTCACTATGATTGGCTATGAATTTGGTTATGAGTTTGTCATAGAGGGCTCTTTTTTTCTTTTTTTTGAGACGGAGTCTCGCTCTTTCGCCCAGGTCGGACTGCAGTGGCGCTATCGCGGCTCACTGCAAGCTCCACCTCCCGGGTTCACTCCATTCTCCTGCCTCAGCCTCTCGAGTAGCTGGGACTACAGGCATCCGCCACCGCGCCCGACTAATTTTTTGTATTTTTAGTAGAGATGGGGTTTCACCGTGTTAGCCAAGATGGTCTCGATCTCCTGACCTCGTGATCCACCTGCCTCGGCCTCCCAAAGTGCTGGGATTACAGGAGTGAGCCACCGCGCCCGGCCAGAGGGCTGTTTTAAAATTTTACTTTAAGTTCTCGGGTACATGTACAGTACATGCAGTTTTGTTACATAGGTATACATGTACCATAGTGGTTTGCTGCACATATTGACTTGTCTTCTATGTTCTCTCCCTTTCCCCTTCATGCCCCAAAAGGCCCTGGTGTGTGTTGTTCCCCTCCCTGTGTCCATGTGTTCTCATTGTTCAACTTCCACTTTTGATTGAGAACATGCAGTGTTTGGTTTTCTGTTCTTGTTTTAGTTTGCTGAGGACAATGACTTTCAGCTTCATCCATGTAAAGGGCATGATCTCATTCCTTTTTATGGCTGCATAGTATTCCACGGTGTATGTGTACCACATTTTCTTTATCCAGTCTATCATTGCTGAGCATTTTGGGTTGGTTCCATGACTTTGCTATCATAAATAGTGCTGCAATAAACATATGTGTGCATATGTCTTTATAGTAGATTGATTTATATTCATTTGGGTATATACCCAGTAATGGGATTGCCTGGTCAAATGGTATTTCTGCCTCCAGATCCTTGAGGAATTGCCATACTGTCCTCCACAATGGTTGAACTAATTTACATTCCCACTGGAAAAGCGTTCCTATTTCTCCACAGCCTCACCAGCATCTATTGTTTCTTGACTTTTTAATAATCGCCTTTCTGACTGGCATGAGATTGTATCTCATTGTGGTTTTGATTTGTATTTCTCTAATGATCAGTGATGTTGAGTTTTTTTTCATGCTTGTTGGCTGCATAAATGTCTTCTTTTGAGAAGTGTCTGTTTATATTTTTTGCTCACTTTTTGATGGGGTTGTTTGGTTTTTTCCTTGTAAATTTGTGTAAGTTCCTTGTAAATTCTGGATATTAGACCTTTCTCAGGTGGGTAAATTGCAAAAATTTTCTCCAGTTCTGTAGTTTGCCTGTTCACTCTGTTGATAGTTTCTGTTGCTGTGCAGAAGCTCTTTAGTGTAATTAGATCCCATTTGTCAATTTTGGCTTTTGTTGCAATTGTTTTTTTGGCATTTGCAGCATGAAGTCTTTGCCCGTGTCTATGTCCTGAATGATATTGCCTAGGTTTTCTTCTAAGGTCTTTATGGTTTTGGGTATTACATTTAAGCCTTTAATCCATATTGAGTTAATTTTTGTATAAAGGGTAAGGGACAGGTCCAGTTTCAGTTTTCTGCATATGGCTAGCCAGTTTTCCCAGAACCATTTACTGAACAGGAGATCTTTTCCCCATTCCTTGTTTTTATGAGGTTTGTAGAAGATCAGATGATTGTAGATGTGTGGTATTATTTCTGAGGTCTCTGTTCTGTTGCAGTGGTCTATAAATCTTTTATGGTATGAGTACCATGCTGTTTTGGTTACTGTAGTCTTATAGGATAGTTTGAATTCAGGTAGCATGATGCCTCCAGCTTTGTTCTTTTTGCTTAGGATTGTCTTGGCTATACGGGTCTTCTTTGATTCCATATGAAATTAAAGTAGTATTTTTCTAATTCTGTGAAGAATGTCAATGGTAGTTTGATGGAAATTGCACTGAATCTATAAATTACTTTGGGTAGTATGGCAATTTTCACAATAGTGATTCTTCCTATCCATGAAGATGAAATGTTTTTCCATTTGTTTCTGTCTTCTCTGATTTTCTTGAGCAGGGGTTTGTAGTTCTCCTTGAAGAGGTCCTGAACATCCCTAGTTAGCTTTATTCCTAGGTATTTTATTCTTTTTGTAGCAGTTGTGAATGGGAGTTCATTCACAATTTTGCTCTCTGCTTGTATACTGTTGGTGTAAAGGAATGTTTATGATTTTTCCACATTGGTTTTTGTATCCTGAGACTTTGTTGAAGTTGCTTATCAGCTTAAGGAGTTTTGGGGCTGAGATGATGCGTTTTTCTAAATATAGAATCATGTGATTTGCAAACAGAGATAATTTGACTTTCTGTCTCCCTATTTGAATATCTTTATTTTTTTCTCTTGCCTGACTGCACTTGCCAGAACTTCCAATACTATGTTGAATTGGAGTGGTGAGAGAGGGCATCCTTTCCTTGTACCAGTTTTCAGTGGTAATTCTTCCAGCTTTTGCCCATTTAATATGATACTGGCTGTGGGTTAGTCATGAATAGCTCTTATTATTTTGAGATATGTTCCATCAATACCTACTTTATTGACAGTTTTTAAAATAAAGGGATGTTGAATTTTGTTGAAGGCTATTTCTGCATCTATTGAGATAATCATGTGTTTTTTGTCTTTGTTTCTGTTTATGTGATGGATTTAATTTATTGATTCACATAGGTTGAACAAGCTTTGCATCTCAAGGATGAAGTTGACTTGATATGGTGGATACATTTTTTTATATGCTACTTGATTTGGCTTACCAGTATTTTATTGAGGATTTTTGCATTGATGTTCATCAGGGATATTAGCCTGAAGTTTTCTTTTTTTGTTGTGTCTCTGTCAGGTTTTGGTATCAGGATGATACTGGCTTTATAAAGTGAGTTAGGGAAGAGTCCCTCTTTTTGCAATAGTTTCGGAAGGAATGTTACCAGCTTTTCTTTGTACCTCTGGTAGAATTAGGTTGTGAATCCGTCTGGTCCTGGGCTTTTTTTTGGTTGGTAGGCTATTGATTACTGCCTCAATTTCAGAACTTGTTATTGGTCTATTCTGGAATTCGACTTCTTTCTGGTTTAGTCTTGTGAGAGTGTATGAGTCCAGAAATTTATTCATTTCTTCTTGATTCTAGTTTATTTGCATAGAGGTGTTTATAGTATTCTCTGATGGTACTTTGTATGTCTGTGGGGTCAGTGGTGATATCCCTTTTAACATTTTTTATTGTGTCTATTTGATTCTTCTCTATTTTCTTCTTTATTCTTCCAGCTAGTGGTCTATTTTGTTATTTTTTTCAAAAGAACTAGCTCCTGGATTCATTGACTTTGGGGAAGATTTTTCATGTCTCTATCTCCTTCAATTCTGCTCTGGTCTTAGTTATTTCTAGTCTTCTGCTAACTTTTGGATTAGTTTGCTCTCGCCTCTCTAGCTCTTTTAATTGTGCTATTATGCAGTCATTTTCAGATCTTTCTAGAATTCTGACATGGATATTTAGTGCTACAAATTTTCCTGTTAACACTGCTTTAGCTGTTTCCCAGAGATTCTGATATGCTGTCTCTTTGTCCTCATTAGTTTCAAAGGACTTCTTGTTTCTCCCCTAATTTCATTATTTACCTAGGAGCCATTCAGGAGCAGGTTGTTCAGTTTCCATGAAATTGTGTGGTTTAGAGTGAATGTCTTAATCCTGAGTTCTAATTTGATTGCACTGTGGTCTGAGAGACTGTTTGTTAGATTTCCACTCTTTTGCATTTGCTGAGGAGTATTTTACTTCCAATTATATGGTTGATTTTAGAATAAATGCCATGTGGTGCTGAAAATAATGTATATTCTGTGGATTTGGGGTGAAGAGTTCTACAGATGTCTATTAGGTCCATTTAATCCAGAGCTGAGTTCAAGTCCTGAATATCCTTGTTGATTTTCTATCTTGTTGATTTGTCTAATATTGACAATGGAGTGTTAAAATCTCCCACTATTACTGTGTGGGAGTCTAAGTCTCTTTGTAGGTCTTTAAGAACTTGTTTTATGAATCTGGGTGCTCCTGTATTGGGTGCATATATATTTAGGATAGTTAGCTCTTCTTGTTGAATTGATCCATTTACTACTGTGTAATGTCCTTCTTTGTCTCTTTTGATCTTTGTTGGTTTAAAGTCTGTTTTATCAGAGACTAGCATTGCAACCCCTGCTTTTTGTTTTTTGTTTGTTTGTTTTTTGCTTTCCATTTGCTTGATAAATTTTCTTCCATCCCTTTATTCTGAGCCTATGTGTATCTTTGCATGTGAGATGGGTCTCCTGAATACAGCACACCAATGGGTCTTGACCCTTTATCCAATTTGCCATTCGGTGTCTTTTAATTGGGGCATTTAGCCCATTTACATTTAAGGTTATTATTGTTATGTGTGAATTTGATCCTGTCATCATGATGCTATCTGGCTATTTTGCAAACTAGTTGGTGCACTTTCTTCATAGTGTCATTGTTCTTTATAATTTGCTGTGCTTTTTGCAGTGACTGGTACTGGTTTTTACTTTCCATATTTAGTGCTTCCTTCATAAGCTGTTTTAAGGCAGGCCTGGTGGTGAAGAAATCCCTCAGCATTTGCTTGTCTGGAAAGGATTATGAAGCTTAGTTTGGCTAGATAAGAAATTCTGGGTTGAAAATTCTTTTCTTTAAGAATATTGAATATTTGCCTCTAATCTCTTCTGGCTGGTAGAGTTTCTGCTGAGAGGTCTGCTGTTAGTCTGATGGGCTTCCCTTGGTAGGTTGGCTGGCCTTTTTCTCTAGCTGCCCTTAACATTTTTTCTTTCATTTCGACCTTGGAGAATCTGATGATTATGTGTCTTGGGGTTGATCTTCTCATGGAGTATCTTAATGGTGTTCCCTGTATTTCCTGAATTTGTGTGCTGGCCTGTCTTGTTAGATTAGGGAAGTTCTCCTGGATAATATCCTGAAGTATATTTTCTAGCATGTTTCCATTCTTCTCGTCTCCTTCAGGTACTCCACTCAATCATAGGCTTGGTCTTTTTACTTGGTCCCATATTTCTTGGAGGCTTTGTTCATTCCTTTTCATTTTTTTTTCCTCTAATATTGTCTGGATGCCTTATTTCAGCAAGGTAGTTTTCAAACTCTGATAACCTTTCTTCTTCTAGGTCAATTCAGCTATTGATACTTGTGTATTGTTCACGAAGTTTTCGTGCTGTTTTTCAGCTCCATCAGGTCATTTATGTTCCTCTCTAAACTGGTTATTCTAGTTAGCAGCTCCTCTAACCTTTTATCAAGATTCTTAGCTTCTTTGCATTGGGTTAGAACATGTTCATTTACCTCGGCAGAGTTTTATGTTACCTACCTTCTGAAGCTTACTGCTGTCAATTTGACCATCTTATCTTCCATCCAGTTCTGTGCCCTTGCTGGAGAGGCACTACAATCATTTGGAGGAGAAGAGGCACTTTGACCTTTTGCGTTTTCAGCATTTTTTCATTGATTATTTCTCATCTTCATGAGTTTATCTAGTTTCAATCTTTGAGGCTGCTGACCCTTGGATATGGTTTTTGTGGAGACTTCTGTTTTTCTTGTTGATGCTGTTGTTGTTGCTTTCTGCTATTTGTTTGTTTTTCTTTCAATGGTCAGGTCCTTCTTCTGTAGGGCTGCTGTGATTTGCTGGGGGTTTGGGACCTATTCATCTAGTTTGTCCCCACACCTGATGATGTCACTCAAGGAGGCTGGAGAACAGCAAAGATGGGTGCCTGTTCCTTCTTCTGGGATCTTCTGACCTTGAGGGGCAACAACCTGATAACCGTAGGATTGCTCCTGTATAAAGTGTTGGAGAGTCTCACCCTGATGGAGGGTCTCACCCTGTTGGGTAGCACAGGGAATAGGACCCATTTAACAAAGCACTTTGACTGTCTTTTGGTGGAGGGAGTCTGCTTTGCTGGGGGGAACCGACTCATCTGGGCTGCCTGGATTCCTCAGAACTACCAGTAAAAAAGGCTAAGTCTGCTGGTCCACGGAGACTGCAGCCAGCCTTCCCCCTAGGGGCTCAGGCTCAGGGAGATCAGGGTTCTGTCCCTGAGCCTCTAGCTGGAGTTGTTGGAGTTCTTGCAGGGAGGCCCCTCCCAGTGAGGTGGGATGGGTCAGGGTAAGCCCTGAAGAGGCACTCTGTCCACAGTCTGCCACAGCTGGTGTGTGGGGCTGTGGGAGACACCTATTGGGACTAAGCTGTCCAGCCTCCCTGGCTCCAGCGGGGGGAAAAGCATGGCCTGGAGCTATAGAGATAGATGTGGTCCTTCCCCTGCCTAGGGAGCTGAGCATGTTAGGCAGTTATGAGTCTCAGTGCTGGCTGCCGACCCTCCCCCAAGGAATTCAAATGGCTTAGATAGCAGGCAGCCACAGCTGTGGTGCTAGTCGCCCCTCCCGCTGGAAACTAGGCAAGCTTAAGTTGATTCTAGCTGAGAGGCTTTGAAAATCTGCCCGCTCCAGGTTTGGGACCCTAGGCCCTGGTGGCATGAGTTCATGAGTGAGATCTTTTGACCCATGCGTTGCGCAGGTCCATGGAAAAAACATGGTTACCCTGGCTGTGTAGCATGCTCACTCACCACCTCCCTTGGCTGGGATGTGGGGCTCCCCTGCCCCTTGTGGCTCTCAGGTAGCCTGCCAGACCACATTGGTCTTCCTTCCTCTCTGGGAATCCCGCCAGCCACCTAGTCAGTTCTGATGAGAGAACCTGGATACCTTGGTTGCTGTTGAAGGATTCACATGATAATATGGCTCTTTTCTATGTGAGCCTCTGATTTGCTGCTGCTTCTAGTTGGCCATCTTGGCCCTGCCCACCTAGATGGCTCTTATTATTTTGATATATGTTCTTTGCTGCCTAATTTGTTAACAGTTTTTATCATGAAGGGATATTGGATTTTATCAGCAGCTTTTTCTGTGTCTGGTTTTTGTTTTAAATCCTGTTTATGTGGTGAATCTTATTTATTGACTTGTGTATGCTGAATTAACCTTGCATTCGGGGAATGAAGAGCACTGGACTGTGGTGAACTACCTTTTGAAGTGCTGTTGTATTCAGTTTGCTAGTATTTTGTTGAGCAAAGTAAAACTTTTTTAGTGTTGACATGATATTCAAAGAAAATGCTTATTGAAGATGGCTGAATAGGAACAGCTCCAGTCTGCAGCTCCCAGAGTGATCGATGCAGAAGACAGGTGACTTCTGCATTTCCAACTGAGGTACCTGATTCATCTCACTGGGACAGGTTGGACAGTGGGTGCAGCCCACAGAGGGCAAGCTGAAGCAGGGCAGGACATCGCCTCACCCGGCAAGCACAAGAGTTCAGGGGATTTCCCTTTCCTAGCCAAGGGAAGCCATGACAGACTGTACCTGGAAAAACAGGACACTCCCACCCAAATACTGAGTTTTTCCCATGATCTTAGCAAGCGGCAGACCAGGAGACTCTTTCCCGTGCCTGGGTTGGTATGTTCCACGCCCATGGAGCCTTGCTCACTACTAGCACAGCTGTCTGAGATCGAACTACGAGGCGGAAGCCTGGCTGGGGGAGGGGCATCCACCATTACTGAGGCTTGAGTAGGTAAACAAAGCAGCCAGGAAGCTCAAACTGAACAGAGCCCAGCACAGCTCAGCAAGGCCTACTGGTCTATAGACTCCACCTCTGTGGGGAGGACATAGCTGAACAAAAGGCAGCAGACAACTTCTGCAGACTTAAACATCCCTGGTTGACAGATCTGAAGAGAGCAGTGATTCTCCCAGCATGGCGTCTGAGCTCTGAGAATGGACACACAGACTCCTCAAGTGGGTCCCTGACCCCTGTGTAGCCTAACTGGGAGACACCTCCCAGTAGGGGCCGACAGACACTTCATATAGGCAGGTGCTCCTCTGGGACAAAGCTTCCAGAGGAAGGATCAGGCAACAATATTTGCTGTTCTGCAGCCTCCGCTGGTGATACCCAGGCAAACAGGGTCTGGAGTGGACCTCCAGCAAACTCCAATAGATCTGCAGCTGAAGGACCTGACTGTTACAAGGAAAACTGACTGACAGAGAGGAATAGCATCAACATCAACAAAAAGGACATCTACACCAAAACACCATCTGTAGGTCACCAACATCAAAGACCAGAGGTAGATAAAACCACCAAGATGGGGAGAAGCCAGAGCAGGAAAGCTGAAAATTCTAAAAACCAAAGCGCCTCTTCTCCTCCAAAGGATTGCAGCTCTTTGCCAGCAACAGAACAAAGCTGGATGGAGAATGACTTTCACAAGTTGACAGAACTAGGTTTCAGATGGTCGGTAATAACAACCTTCTCCGAGCTAAAGGAGCACGTTCGAACCCATCAAAAGGAAGCTAAAAACCTTGAAAAAAGGTTAGACAAATGGCTAACTAGAATAAATAGTGTAGAGAAGACCTTAAATGACCTGATGGAGCTGAAAACCATGGCACAAGAACTTCGTGAGGCATGCATAAGCTTCAATAGCCGATTTGATCAAGTGGAAGAAAGGGTATCAGTGATTGAAGATCAAATTAATGAAATAAAGCAAGAAGACAAGGTTAGAGAAAAAAGAGTAAAAAGAAAGAAACAAAGCCTCTAAGAAATATGGGACTATGTTTGATCAAGTGGAAGAAAGGGTATCAGTGATTGAAGATCAAATTAATGAAATAAAGCAAGAAGACAAGGTTAGAGAAAAAAGAGTAAAAAGAAAGAAACAAAGCCTCTAAGAAATATGGGACTATGTGAAAAGACCAAATCTACATTTGATTCATGTACCTGAAAGTGATGGGGAGAATGGAACCAAGTTGGAAAACGCTCTTCAGGATATTATCTAGGAGAACTTCACCAACCTAGCAAAGCAGGCCAACATTCAAATTCAGGAAATGTAGAGAATGCCACAAAGATACTCCTTGAGAAGAGCAACCCCAAGACACATAATTGTCAGATTCACCAATGTGGAAATGAAGGAAAAAATGTTAAGGGCAGCCAGAGAGAAAGGTCAAGTTACCCACAAAGGGAAGCCCATCAGACTAACAGTGTATTTCTTGGCAGAAACCCTACAAGCCAGAAGAGAGTAGGGGCCAATATTCCACATTCTTAAAGAAAAGAATTTTCATCCCAGAATTTCATATCCAGCTAAACTAAGCTTTATAAGTAAAGGAGCAATAAAATTCTTTACAGATAAGCAAATGCTGAGAGATTTTGTCACCACGAGGTCTGCCTTACAAGAGCTCCTAAAGGAAGCACTAAACATGGAAAGAAACAATCAGTATCAGCTACTGCAAAAACATGCCAAATTGTAAAGACCATTGATACTATGAAGCAACTGCATCAATTAATGGGCAAAATAGCCAGCTAACATCATAATGACAGGATCAAATTCACACATAACGATATTAACCTTAAATGTAAATGGGCTGAATGGCCCAATTAAAAGACACAGACTGGCAAATTGGATAAAGAGTCAAGACCCATCAGTGTGCTGTATTCAGGAGACCCATCTCATGTGCAGAGACACACATAGTCTCAAAATAAAGGAATGGAAGAAGATCTACCAAGCAAATGGAAAGCCAAAAAAAAAAAAAAAAAAAAAAAAAAAAAAGCAGGGTTTGCAATCCTAGTCTCTGATAAAACAGACTTTAAACAAACAAAGATCAAAAGAGACAAAGAAGGCCATTACATAATGGTAAAGGGATCAATTCAACAAGAAGAGTTAACTACTGTAAATATATATGCACCCAATACAGGAGCACCCAGATTCAAAAAGCAAGTCCTTAGAGACCTACAAAGAGACTTAGACTCCCACACAATAATAATGGGAGACTTTAACACCCCACTGTCAATATTAGACAGATCAACAAGACAGAAGGTTAACAAGGATATCCAGGACTTGAACTCAGCTCTACACCAAGTGGACCTAATAGACATCTATGGAACTCTCCACCCCAAATCAACAGAATATACATTCTTCTCAGTACTACGTCACACTTATTCTAAAATTGACCACATAATTGGAAGTAAAGCACTCCTCAGCAAATGTAAAAGAACAGAAATTGCAATAAACTGTCTCTCAGACCACAGTGTAATCAAAATAGATCTTAGGATTAAGAAGTTCACTCAAAACTGCACAACCACATAAAAACTGAAAACCTGCTCCTGAATGACTACTGGGTAAATAACTAAATGAAGGCAGAAATAAAGACACTCTTTGAAACCAATGAGAACAAAGACACAATGTACCAGAATCTCTGGGACACATTTAAAGCAGTGTATAGAGAGAAATTTATAGCACTAAATGCCCACAGAGAAAACAGGAAAGATCTAAAATCAACACACTAACATCACAATTAAAAGAACTAGAGAAGCAACAAATTCAAAAGCTAGCAGAAGGCAAGAAATAACTAAGATCAGAGCAGAACTGAAAGAGATAGAGACAGAAAAAAAACCTTCAAAAAATCACTGAATCCAGGATCTGGTTTTTTGAAAAGATCAACCAAATTGATAGACCACTAGCAAGACTAATAAAGAAGAAAGGAGAGAATAATCAAATAGACGCAATAAAAAATGATAAAGGGGATATCACCACCGATCCCACAGAAATACAAACTACCATCAGAGAATACTATAAACACCTCTATGCAAATAAACTAGAAAATCTAGAAGAAATGGATAAATTCCTGGACACATACACCCTCCCAAGACCAAACCAGGAAGAAGTTGAATCTCTGAATAGACCAATAACAGGTTCTGAAATTGAGGCAATAATTAATAGCCTACCAACCAAAAAAAGTCCAGGACCAGACAGATTCACAGCCGAATTCTACCAGAGGTACAAAGAGGAGCTGGTACTATTCCTTCTGAAAATTTCCAATCAATAGAAAAAGGGGGAATCCTCCCTACCTCATTTTATGAGGCCAGCATCATCCTAATACCAAAGCCTGGGAGAGACACAACAAAAAAAGATAATTTTAGACCAATATCCCTGATGTACATCGATGCGAAAATCCTCAGTAAAATACTGGCAAAACGAATCCAGCAGCACGTCAAAAAGCTTATCCACTATGTTCAATCGGCTTCATCCCTGGGATGCAAGGCTAGTTCAACACATGCAAATCAATAAACGTAATCCATCACATAAACAGAACTACTGACAGAAACCACATGATTATCTCAATAGATGCAGAAAAGGCCTTCAACAAAATTCAACACCCCTTCATGCTAAAAACTCTGAATAAACTAGGTATTGATAGAACACATCTCAAAATAATAAGAGCTGTTTATGACAAACCCACAGCCAATATCATACTGAATGGGCAAAAACTGGAAGCATTCCCTTTGAAAACTGGCACAAGACAGGGATGCCCTCTCTCACCACTACTATTCAACATAGTGTTGGAAGTTCTGGCCAGGGCAATCAGGCAAGAGAAGGAAATAAAGGTATTCAATTAGGAAAAGAGGAAGTCAAATTGTCTCTGTTTTCAGATGACATGATTGTATATTTAGAAACCTCATCGTCTCAGCCCAAAATCTCCTTAAGCTGATAAGCAACTTCAGCGAAGTCTCAGGATACAAAATCAATGTGCAAAAATCACAAGCATTCCTATACACCAATAAGAGACAAACAGAGAGCCAAATCATGAGTGAACTCCCATTCACAATTGCTACAAAGAGAATAAAATACCTAGGGATCCAACTTACAAGGGAAGTGAAGGACCTTCCTTCAAGTGAAGGAGCTGCTCAACGAAATAAAAGAGGACACAAACAAATGGAAGAACATTCCACGCTCATGGATAGGAAGAATCCATATCATGAAAATGGCCATACTGCCCAAGATAATTTATAGATTCAATGCAATCCCCATTAAACTACCAATGACTTTCTTCACGGAATTGGAAAAAACTACTTTAAAGTTCATATGGAACTAAAAAAGATTCCACATTGCCAAGAAAATCCTAAGCAAAAAGAACAAAGCTGGAGGCATCACGCTACCTGATTTCAAAGTATCCTACAAGGCTACAGTAACCAAAACAGCACGGTTCTGGTATCAAAACAGATATATACACCGATGGAACAGAACAGAGCCCTCAGAAATAATACCACACATCTATAACCATCTGATCTTTGACAAACCTGACAGAAACAAGAAATGGGGAAAGGATTCCCTATTTAATAAATGGTGCTGGGAAAACTGGCTAGCCATATGTAGAAAACTGAAACTGGATCTCTTCCTTACACCTTATACAAAAATTAATTCAAGATGGATTAAAGATTTAATGTTAGTCCTAAAACCATTAAAACCCTAGAAGAAAACCTAGGCAATACCATTCAGGACATAGTCAAGGGCAAGGACTTCATGACTAAAACACCAAAAGCAATAGCAATGAAAGCCGAAATAGACAAATGGGATCTAATTAAACTAAAGAGCTTCTGCATGGCAAAATAAACTACCATCAGAGTAAACAGGCAACCTATAGAATGGGAGAAAATTTTTGCAATCTACCCATCTGACAAAGGGCTAATATCCAGAATCTACAAAGAACTCAAACAAATTAACAAGGAAAAAAAAAACCCATCAAAAAGTGGGCTAAAGATATGAGCAGACACTTCTCAAAAGAAGCCGTTTATTGCAGCCAACAGACACAACATAAAATGCTTATCATCACTGATCATCAGAGAAATGCAAATCAAAACCCCTTTGAGATACCATCTCACACCAATTAGAATGGTGATCATTAAAACGTCAGGAAACAACAGATGCTGGAGAGTATGTGGAGAAATAGGAACACTTTTACACTGTTGGTGGGAGTGTAAATTAGTTCAACCATTGTGGAAGACAGTGTGGCGATTCCTCAAGGATCTAGAACTAGAAATACCATTTGACTCAGCAATCCCCTTACCAGGTGTATACCCAAAGGATTATGTATCATGTTACTGTAAAGACACATGCACACGTATGTTTATTGTGGCACTATTCACAATAGCAAAGACTTGGAACCAACCCAAATGTCCATCAATGATAGACTGGATTAAGAAAATGTTGCACGTATACACCATGGAATACTATGCAGCCATAAAAAATGATGGGTTCGTGGCCTTTGCAGGGACATGGATTAAGCTGGAAACCATCATTCTGAGCAAACTATCACAAGGACAGAAAACCAAACACCGTATGTTCTCACTTATAGGTGGCAACTGAACAATGAGAACACTTGCACACAGAGCAGGGAACATCACACACTGGGGCCTGTCAGGAGGTGGAGGGCTGGGGGAGGGATAGCATTAGGAGAAATACCTAATGTAAATGAAGAGTTGATGGGTGCAGCAAACCAACATGGCACATATATACCTATATATCAAGCCTGCACGTTGTGCACATGTACCCTAGAACTTAAAGTATAATAATAATAATAATAATAATAATAATAACAACAACAATAAATAACCATTTTCCTCTTTAAAAAAAAGAAAATGCTTATTGAAGAATTTCAGATTTCAGGTTTTTGGATTTGGGATGATCACCTGGTAATTATAATGTGGATATTCCAAAATTCAGAAAGTTCTGAAATCCAAAACACTTTTTGTTCTCAGCATTTTGGAATAGCAGTACTCTACCTGTAATATAATAAACAGTGAATACTGAAGGAATATTTTCCTTCTGATCAGTGCAGTGTACATTGCTCTTCTCTCAAAGTTCTGTTCTTAGTGCCCTCTTTCTGTGGGTCAGTTGATTATTTTTGAGGTGACCATAAGATTATGAATGCTCACTTTTAGGTGTTTCTCTCTAATTTCAGCAGGGGAATATTTACACACAGCGTGGACACTTTCCTTTTCAGAGTGTGTATATTACCACTGGTGGTGTGACTTTATAACTTGCATATCTTTTAGTGGGGCCATTTTTTAAATGTTTATTTTTTTCTCATAGGAAGTCAGGAATTCCCTCATTGTGCACCTGTTTTTAGAGTCATGTCTGTTAAAAAAACAAACATTTACTTAAGCATTCCATTAAGTCTGATATAAAAACAAAAGGGTGTCCTGTTTTTGTTGTTGTTTTTCACCCCATTGAAAAAACAGGAGCTGAATGTAGAAAAGGTTATGGATTTAGTCTTTAGACTTGACTCATAAGACCTGAACTGGCTAATAGCACCATTTTTTTTCTTTAATAAACCATTTTCTGGGCTTTCTCCTTTAGGAACACAGATATAAATTACAGCAGGTACCCGACTTCAAAGAATTTAGAACTTAGCAGGAGAGATGGGGAGAAGAAAGGCAGTTATGACAGTGACAGAATGGTGTGCAAAGGGGATCTTTTTTCCCAAATCCCAGAGCTTACTATTGAAAAATCCATGAACAAGATCTGCATATTTGTACCTTTAGCTAAGAGAATTGAGAAATACAAAGTAAATTTTGATTAACGCTTTCATCCCTAATAGCTCAGTCTCCTTGAGAAGGTATGACAGTCAACAAACATAAAAGTATTAGCAGACAGAACATACAACTATGAAGAAACACTACAGTGCACTGAATGCAAAATTATGCACCTGCATCACCTGCATTGTGCAAGGAAAAAGAGTTTAGGGTCAAATCAGTCACTCAGTGCTGTGAAGATTTTGAAGGACTGGAAGAACAACCAGTTGGGTTGTAATCATGAGCCTCTTCTAATCCTAAACTCAAAAAAGGTAAGATGAATTTCTGACCTCTTGAAAACTTTCAAAGTTCAACACCTCACTGTCTTTTACTTTCTCCTTTTACTAACTATTCTTCTGGGCATCTCTCTTTTGTACAATCACACATTAATTGTACTACAGCCTGAGACTGCTTCTACAATCAGCCTTTGTTCAGGGAATATCAAAAAGCAGAGGTAAACTTTCACTTTTGGTAAAAATTAAATATTATGGCCATATTAGGTAGCTAAAGGAAAGCATGCCATGGAGTAGAGAAGAGGGTTTCTTCAGCACTATTTCCACCAAAGGTTAAGACAACAATGAGACAGAAAAGCGAAGGCACCTTCAGGATCCAATAACACAGTTTAAACAGGAAATATAAACTATCTGGTTAATTCTTATGAGGAAATAAAAGGAGGCTTGTTAGATTAAACTCCTTCAGAATTTGTGTTTTTATGTGATTAGAGAAACAAAAACTGAGCGATCAAAAAGAGGAGACAGATGGATAGAAGAAGGTGTGGGGACTACAGAGCAGGAAAAGGAAAAGGAGGGAAAAAAACAGGCTGAAGTGTCAACGCACATAACAATGTTGGTCGTTTCCATTCTTTGTTTCTTCCCACGGGAAGAAACTAGAGTCCAGTACTTGGATGCCAATTTGCTGATGACAAGGAATTTCTTGACAATGAGCCTAGAATTTCTAAGCAGCAGTCTCTCAATCTGTGATTACATATTTCCATTCTTTGCAATAAGTACATACACAGTTTACTTTCATTTTTCAGTCTGAGCCTTTTTTCAGTGCTGTAAGAAAGGACGGAGGCTGTTATCTATGGCAGGTGAGTCCTCTTCTGAATAGGAGTTTGGGACTGGGATCTTAGAAAATACTTTATTTATTGCTGTGTAATGAACACAAAACATGAAATGGGCCAATAGAGTGCATGCTGAATCTTTTTTCTTACTGGTTGTGTGTAGTTTGAATCACGGGAGCTAGTATTAGACACTGAAGGAGAGAATATGTTCTCCAGATGTCTTCTAGCTAGAAAGAAGTTAATTCCCTGCTTTCAGCTTCTGGTAATCAAAGGGAGAGTGAAGAAAGCAGAGGAAGTTATTATTTGTGTGAGAAAATTCTAGAAGTTTCCAAATGCACTCTGAAATTTTCTCTGTTTTCTATTGTTTCCAAATTATTGCCCAGATTATAAACCTTTCTCCCAGAATCAGATATGAGAGCTTCTGAGTTGTCGTCACCCTCTTTGCCATCTCTTATTGTGAATTACATTCTTGGTCTGTTTAAAGTTATTCCATTTTTCTCCCTTTCTCTTTAGTCCTTGTACTGACTACGTTACTGCAATATTTCACTGGTTGCTATCACAGTTGTTTTATTTTGTTTTGTTGTTAATTGATCTCCCTCTCTCCAGGACTTAACCTTCCAATTCTTCCTGCACACAACTTTCAGGTCTCCTGTCTTATACATAGAAGCTGAAAAAGCCTAAGGGATAGAGTCATGAGCTATTTAGACAGATAGTATTCCAGCAGGTCATATCGCTTCTTTGGCTTCATTCTCCTCACTGAAAAATAAATGGGACTAGATCAGTGGATTCTAAACCTTATATCACAGTAATGTGTAGTCACATAAAAAAAATTAGATGACTACCCATTTCCTTACCCTGAATAGATCAATCTTAAATAGCCTGCAGACATTTATTAATTTCTGTATATCTGCAGATAATCCCTATAAAGCTGATCTGGAATAGGTTTTTCTGCAGATTAGTATTATTAGGAAAGTCAGTCAGTTAGTTACCTGTCTCTGCTTACCTGCTAGTGATCTATTAATGTAATTCTTTTTGCTCAGGAACATATGGTTGCTCCCTATTGCGTTTTTAAAAATATGATTTTTCAGTCAAGTTTTTCTACCTTTTGAAATATGTGTATCCATTTTTTTCCATTAATCCCTGTAAAGTATGATTTCAGCTTCATAAAACAATTACTGTATTTACTTCACTCCTACTTCCTCGTCGTTGAGTTTATTTTCTCCTTTGATTCTCCCTGTAGTATAATTCTCTCTGGGGTTTATGTTTCACCTCACAATATTTAACTTAAGCTCCCAAAATATAGAGGTTGGTGGTTTTCTTCACTTGTCTTCTTCATGAAACTAATAAAGCATTTGGCTAGGCATCAGTTAGTCAAATTCATAAACATGGCTACCTCTTCAGCCAAGCAGGCTGATGTTACAGGTCATTGGATTTGAATCAAGGCATTAAAAAATAGACAGTAGAAATTGAAAGCCAGTAGTCAAAAACAAGTTGTGGTTTGATAATTATAAACAACCAACTTTAGTCAGCTATTGTTAACTAAAACTTCTGAGGAAGAGTATCCTTTAAAGTGTTTAAGCATTACATCACTGCCTGGAATCAAAACTGTGGTGCTGGTGAGTTGTTTCCTCTAATTGATTCTCTCCATTTTTACTATCACTGCAGCTTTCATTCAGTGATTATTACAATAACAAAAAAATACATATAATAATGGTTTCTTTAAAAAATACTTACCATATGACAGCTATTTCATGCAGTCTCTCTGATTTAATATTTTAAACCAAGCAATACAGTTGTGCTATTATTGCCATATTATAGTTGAAGGGGATTCTGAGAGAATGCCTTCAGAGCATGCTTTAGGTCAAAAGTCAGTTGAGAGGAGTGATCTCAGGTCGGCATGACTCTCAAACTCTGCCACTACTCTAATTTTCTGAAAATATCCGCTGAGGTTGTGGGGTGATGCTGAGGTTGTGAAAATATCTTCAAATACCTGCCCTGTCTCTGATCACTGCCACTTCAGCCTCGGATGCACACTTCTTTTCCTTCTAAAGCCAAGCTCTCCTAACTTTCTGGTTACATCAGACACCCTCAAGCCTTTTTGCTTCTTCTCACACTGCTCCTTGACAGGAGACCAGCCGCCAGTTGTCCAAGGGGCAAATTCCTACCAGTTCTTCAGGTCTCAGTGCCAAGCCATCCCTCATCTGGACAGCTATCGTCTACCTGAGACACACTTTGCTTATGCTTTTCTTGAGCATCTGCTCAATATTTAAATTCTTAAAAGGTGTTTCATTATACTTATTTGCATGTCAATCTTTCCTCTTGACTGTAAGCATGTTTCCAAAATGGTACTCCCAATACTAGCAGTTTCAAGAGCTGCTGCTCCTTAAATAATCCTGAATGAATAGGAGAATGAATATGACTTCCCTCTGCTTGAAACTTCCAATGTGCACTTTTTGTCTGTTAAATGTAATTGAACTTACCTGGTTTGCTGTTAATAGAAAACAGTATTCCACAAGGGTTGAGCCACACCTAATTTTTTTTTTTCATTTCTTCCTACATTCGCTTGACTGGTGATTTAGAATATAATTAATAAATATCCCTCGAATGCCAAAATTAGCACAGGCATAGATCATGGTCCCTGTCCTCACAGAGCATAAAATCTAGTAGTGAATACTGAAAAGTAGGCTGGGAATCACAAATAAAGGGAAAAAGATATGCTATCCTAAGGAGAAGCAACATGCCCTGTGGGCATGTGACTCTGACACTGTCTCTCCTCAGAAAATCAGACAGGATTCCATGAAAAAAGTGCTGTCTAATCTGAGACTTGAAGGATACACAGACAGTAGTAGACAAACAAGAAGGAATGAGAAGGTGGGGTCTAGAAATACAGAGATCCCAATGTAGAGGATTTCTAGAAATTAAATGAAGGGCAGAGTGTTTTGAATATAAGGCACAAGGTCAGAACAGTATCAGAAGATGAGGGTGAATGAGTAGGCCTAGATTAGAATGAGCTGAGAGGTTTCATGGTCAAATATAGATATTGGAACACTCTTCATTGTGAAGAATAGAATAGAAAGGAAAATCAGTTTACAAGGTTCTTATCAACTTATTTATTAAGAAAGAAAGGATGTTGGCCTGGATAGAAGTAATGAACAATTAGAATTGAGGGAAGTGGTCAGAATCTGAAAATGTTTAGCAAATAAAATCAATGCAATGTGAATTGAGACTGGAAATAAGACATAAGGAAGGCTGAAGAGGTTTAATATCAGCAGGATTTGCTGCTTTCTTGTAGTTGGAGTATAGGCATTTACCAGTAAATGGAAAAGGGAATGAATGCTGGAAATGAATAAATGAGCAGTTCATCTGTAAAAGTTGAGTTGAATGAGGTTGTGGGATATAGTTAAGAGATGTCTTATTGTCTATCACATGTATGGGTTTCAATAGCGAGATCTACATCTAGGTCCAATCTATAAATTTGAGAGTGATTTATTTATTATTTTAAACTTATAATTGATGGCATGAGAATGTATAGATTATAAAATGAGGATCTCAGACCACATTTTTTTAAAATTATAAGTTCTTTATGTTTTTGACAAATGAAGAGTATATATATTTTCCATGTATAACATAATGTTTTGCAGTATGTATATATTCTGGAATGCCTGAATTCATCTAATCAGCATATGGATTATCTCATATGTTTATCTTTTTGTGATTAGAACACTTAAATTTTACTCTCTTAAATAATTGTCAAGAATACAATACATTGTTATTAACTTAAGTCACCCTGTTGCACAATATATCTCTTTAACTTATTCTTCTTATCTAATTGAAATTTTGTTTAATTTTACCTACATCTCCCAAACTCCCTACCTTCCCCTGGTACCCACCATTCTACCTTCTGCTTTTACAAGTTTAACTTTTTTAGATTCTACATTCGAGTGAGATCATGTGGTGTTTGTCTTTTGCTGCCTGGTCTGGCTTATTTCACTTAACATAATGTCCGTCATGTGCATCAATACTGTCAGAAATGACAGGATTTAGTTCCTTTTAAAAGCTGAATAATGTTGCATTGTGTATATAAACCACATTTTCTTTATCTGTTCGTCCATCTACAGACACTTAGATTGATTTTGGATCTTGGCTATTGTGAATAATGCTGCAATGAAAATAGAAGTTCAGATATCTCTTTGAAACACGGATTTCCATTTTTTTTAATACCTGCTTAATAGTGGGATTGCTGGATCATATGTTTAGCTCTATTTTTAACTTCCTGAGGAGTCTCCGTATAGTTTTCCATAATGACCATGCTAAATTGCATTTTACCAACAGTGTATAAGGGTTTATTTTATCCATAACCTCTCCAACATTTGTTATCTTTTGTCTTTTTGATAGTAGCCATTCTAAAAGGTGTGAAGTGATATCACATTGTGGTTTCAATTTTCCTGGTGATTACAGAGGCTGATCATTTTTCATATACATATTGTTTCTATATCTTCTTCTGAAAAATGGCTCTTCTGGTCCTTTATTTTTAAATCAGTTTGTTTTCTATTAATTGTTTGTGTTCCTTATATTTTCCATATTAACTCCTTATCAGATGCATGGTTTGCAAATAATTTCCCAATTCTGTTGATATCTCTTTAATCTTTTGATGTTTCTTTGGCTGCGTAAAAGCTTTTTAGTTTGGGCCGGACACAGCGGCTCACACCTGTAATCCCAGCACTTTGGGAGGCTGAGGCTGGCGGATCATCTGAGGTTCAAGACTAGTCTGGCCAACATGGTGAAACCCCGTCTCTACTAAAAATACAAAAATTAGCCAGGCAAGGTGGCAGGCGCCTGTAGTCTCATATGCTTCAGAGGCTGAGGCAAGAGAATCGCTTGAACCCTGGACATGGAGGTTGCAGTGAGCCGAGACTGTGCTACTGCACTCCAGCCTGGGTGACAGAGCAAGACACTGTATCAAAAAAACAAAAAACAAAACAAAACAAAACAAAAAAACTTTTTTTAGTTTGATGTAATTTAATTTCATTTGTGTATTTTAGCTTTTGCTTCCTGTACTTCTGCATCATATCCAGAAATCATTGTCTAGACTAACGTCATGAAGCTATTCTCCTCTGTTTTCTTCTAATAGTTTCAATTCTTACATTTACATAGTTAACCCATTTTAAGTTTATTTTTGTGTATGGTGAGACATAAGCATCCAATTTCATTCTTTTGTATGTGGTTATCCAATTTTCCCAATATCACTTATTGAAGAGTTTGTCCTTTCCTCATTGTGTGTTTATGAAACCTTTGTAGAAAAGTCTAAATGAATGTAAATAATTGGGTTTATTTTTGGGCTTGCTGTCCTGTTCCATTGCTGTCTATGTCTGTTTCTATGCCACTCTTGTGCTATTTTACTTACTGTAGCTTTGTACTATATATATATATATATATTTTTTTTTTAAGTCAGGTAGTTGATGTCTGCAGCTTTCTTCCCTTTACTCAAGATTGCTTTGTCTATTCATGGTTTTTTGTGATTTCATATAAATTTTAGGATTTGTTTTTATTTTTATAACAAGTGCCACTGTAATTTTGATAGGGATTGCATTATATATTTAGATTTCTTTGGGTATTAGGGACTTGTTAATAATGGTAATTTTTGCAGTACATCAACTCAAAATATCTATTTATTTGTGTCTTCTTCAATTTCTTCTATCAATGTTTTATAGTTTTGGGGTTTTTGTTATTGTTGTTAATTTTGAGACAGGGTATTTTTCTGTAGCCAAGGCTAGAGTGCAGTGTCACAATTATAGCTCACTGTAACCTCAAACTCCTGGGCTTAAGCAATCCTCCCACATCAGACTTCCAAGTAGCAAGGACTATAGACACCTGCTACCATGCCCAGCCAATTTTTTAAATTCTTTTGTAGAGACAGAGTCTTACTATGTTGATAACTTTCGAGTTTTATATTTTTAAGTGCGCATGTTTTTCACCCACGTTGTTAAATGTATTTCTAATTATTTTTGTAGCTATTTTAAATGGAAGTTCTTATATTTTTTAAAGATAGTTTATTGTTATATAGAAACACTACAGATTTTTATATGTTGATTTTGTATTCTTCAATTTTACTGAATTTGTTTATTTGTTCTAAAAAATTTTTGGTGGAGCCTTTAAGGTTTTCTCTATATAAAACCATTTCTTTTTAAACAGGCAGAATTAAACCTCTTCCTTTCCAATTTTGATGCCTTTTATTTCTTTTTGTTGTCGAATTGCTTTGGCTAGGACTAGCAGTACTATGTTGAATAGAAGTGGTTAACATGAGTATCTTTGTCTTCTTCCTGATGTTGGAGAAAAGATTTTCAACTTTTCACCTTTGAGTATGATGTTAGCTGTGTGTTTGCTACATGTGGCATTTGTTGTGCTGTAAACTCTTCCATATTTTTAATTATCATATTTCTTCACATATCATTCTTTCAATCAACACTATATTAGTTTACTGAGCACACAAATAAATAGAACAGAAACCCAGAACTCAGGCAGATTGGATATCCCACAAACTAATCTGCTTACTGTTTGCAAATCTTCATATTTTGTTCCAACATCTGTACCTGATATTGCAAAACCAATATTTTTGCTACCTCTTCTAAGAAGCCTTTGTGATCTTACCTGTGGGAATGTATTAATCTTTTCTGAGCCCCTTGAATATCTTGTCTGCATTCTCTTAAGAAGCTCTTCACCAACAGTCAGGCAATGTAGCTTGATGAATTAAGAATGGGAGCTCTGGATTCTCAACCCCTACATTACAATTCTTGTTCCGCATATACTATATATTCTTAGTTCTTTTCATGTTATTTGAATCAATTACTTACTACCTTCCCATTTCCATGTAAGATAAGTTAATATACATTTCAAATGAATTTTTTTGTGAAATTTCAGTAATGCACTGGGCATGATGGAGGCTCAAATATATTAATTATTTCAACTGAAGCCATGTCATGTTTAACAATATAGAATATGGTGAAAAAAACAAGATGTGAATCCTAATGTGTTATATAAAGAAAATTGTTAAGTTAAATATAATATATAAATATATAATATGTATTAGATATAATGTGATATGTTATAATATATTATTGATAAAATATTATATATCATAACAATACAATATATAATATATATAATAACATAATAAATATACTATAGGGAATGTAATAACCATCCCAATGGCTGATTGTGAGGGTCTACTATATTAACATTTATAAAATCATTGGTACAGTGACTTGCAAATAATAATGATAATGATGATTTATATTGCATTATATGCATTCATTTTTTATTTATAATAAGTGGGTGGGACATATAACCTTTTATTAAGTTAGTTTATATTAGGTAACTTTTTGGACACACCATTATGGTTACAAGGCAGCATTTTTCCATTAAATAGTTGGCTTTACAATTTGCATAGGGATAATAGAAGTTCACTTCTTTTAGAATCATTAAAAATTTAGAGTAAGGTTGTTGAAAATATAATTCCTGGAATGTACAAGATTCAATATTCTTTGGATTGGTAGATATATGGATCGGCAGGTGTAGTGGGGGTTAGGAGGGGACTATTAATCCAAAACGGAATGCTGTCCATCCTGTATGGTAGCCACTCGCAACATGTAGCTATGAAGCACTTGGCTTGTGGCTAATGAAACATGTTGAAATAATACCTCCTATATGTTATATTAAATAAATATGTAATAAAAATTAAATTTATTTGTTTAGTTTTCCTTTTTAAATGCGATAGTAAAAAATTGAGTATTGGAAATGGAACACACATTAAATTTGTAGTAGATAGCGCTCTGACAACTACTTACTCAGTATACTCTTGCACAGACACAATAGAAAGTCCACATGAATAAATGAGTAAAACCTTTATCCTAGAGTAAAACATTTGGAAAAATCAAATTCTTTTGACTGTATAAGGAAAGGCCAAATTTAACACCAACATCGTCAAAATATTTTTCCCAGAATGATCAGAATCTATGATTGCATTTTTGGGTGGATCTGCTTTTCTCTCTTTTCCAGTAACAATGCATCTCCCGATATAGAATATCTCCTAGATATGAGATATAACTATAACCCCTACATGTGACGAAATCTTCTTCCCAGGACATCTTCTCTCTCGATCTTCTTAGGTGATAAATTGGGTCACAGAAGCAGAAATCACAACTTATATTATGTAATATTCTCCACCTCATTCGAATATGGAGGTTGGACCACCTGAGGCAAGAGAATCTACAGATGCCCTCAAGCTTTGCCCTCATGAATAACTCCTGAGACTATGTAAAGAAAGAGCTGAAAAGGTGTTATACTGTCTGCATGAAACAGAAAAAAAGAAGAGAAATCGTTGCTTTCATTAAGTGCACCATTTTTTACAGCACTAAATGATTGGGGGTGGGGATGGCAGTAACTATTTCATGAATGTTTTCAGCGAGGAAAAGATTATGTGACTTCACACAGACACCAATTCTCTCTCAACCCATGATCTAGATCATTTTATCATGGGTTGAAAGAGAATTGGTTTTCCTATGGCTCAAGTATTTATTTTTGTAATCATTTGGAATTTATGACAATTGTAACTTTAGCCATGGAATAAAAATGTTTATAAGATAATACAGCTGAGTAGTAACTGTTTGCACTCTAGTTGAAAAGTCTAGACATGAAGGATACTTGAAAATATAATTAAGGCTTGAAAAACATTACAAGTTGATGTGTTAAAAATGGTATCAAAATAACTATGCTTCCAAAGGCAAAGACCTTTGCTATATTCATTTTTTACTGGAGCCAATGACCACATCTCTTGATTTTAATGAAATTTGACCCGAATCTTAAATACTAGGAAAGATTTGCGTAGGTGTAGAAAAAAAGGGATGAGAAAAGGGGTAGCCATTATTTTAGTTTCCTCAAGAGTATTGAATAACCATTCCAGATATGTCGTTGTCTTTCTCTGGGTTCTTGAGAAAGAAGAAGTCAATGTCTTTTGATACAAGTTACAGCAGAGAGCAGCTGCATGAAGACTTAAAAAAGCAACATTGATAGGCATAAGGGGGTAGAAAAGAAACCTGAATAAATTAAATTCACTGCATCTCCACCTCCTGCAGATCTATCCAATAAAGGAGAGAAAGGACCGCATACGCCTGGTTCTCATCATATGCAATAAAGAGTTTGACCATCTGCCTCCAAGAAATGGGGCTGACTTTGCCATCATGGAGATGAAGAAGCTGCTTGAGGATCTGGGTTACAGTGTGGATGTAGAAGAGAATCTGACAGCCAGGGTAACAACCCCTCAGCCACCCCAAACTCATACATATTGAACACGCATCCTTCTAATAACTAGTTAGCTTTATAGAAGCTCAACAAAGTTTAACAATCTCTGCTACCTTGTGTGTGTGTGTGTGTGTGTGTGTGTGTGTGTGTGTGTGATGCAAAAAATGAAAGCATTAGATTGGTAAATTTATGTCTCTTTTTTGCTCCAAATGTCCTCAATTCCATAAAACTAGACAAAATATGATTGGCACGAGTTTTCACATTTCTGATTGAGATTCAAAGTCTGGTGATTGGGATGCAGCCCCAAGATTCTCCATAAAATTATATAGTAATAAGTGTTAAACAGGAGTACAGTCTTAAAACAAATATTGAGTACTAAATTGGTGACCAAAGCTATTCCTAGCATTGGGAGTAGGTCTGTAAATGAGACAGGAAGTTCCCAGTCGGCATCCATCTAGGTTACAGTAGAGAGAAACAGTGAAGTTATAAGCAAAACGGACAGCTTCAGAGAACAGGTGTGCATATATGTGTGTCTACATAAGAGTGACAAGAAAGCCAAGAGTAAGAAAAAAGAAAAAGGAAACATGACAGAGAATTGTAGGGTAAGGAAAAATGTTCTTGGGTTGGCTGAAAAAGCCTCCGTGGGGAGATAACACAGGGGTTGGACTGGACTACCAGAAGGAGACAACCTTGGAGAGACATGAATGCAGTGCCTTCAAAGTACGAGAAGCTACCTGTGAAAGAGCTGAGCTGAAAATGAAACTGGCACATGAGAAGCACAAAGAGAAGACCAGTATGACTCAAGTTTGGAGGAGAAGGGACATAGTATGTGGGTGGAGTATGGTCAGACCAGAAGTTTGATTTGATTCTAAGCAAACTGGGATGGGTTTTACAAAGAAAGTGGTGTGATGCATTTATAACACATGACTCTTGGTAGGTAAGGAGAAAGATTGAGATGGAAAAGAAAAAGGGAAATGAGTAACATATAAAAATATACAATATATAAAGAAGACGGTGTGTCAGCCAGAGAAGAAAATGGCAACCCATAGCCCCATTAAGAAGGAAATATGAAACCATAAAACAGCTGTCATCACTGAGTAAGCACTATGTGAAGCGCCATGACCCAGATGTTACATATGTTTCTTGTTTCGCTCATGGTAAATCTAGGAGGCCCCATTAATTGTGATGCTTCTCCGACTAAAGTTAGACATTGCTCTTTTCCAGAATATGAAGTCATTGCTGTGGGCATTTGCTGCCTGACCAGAGCACAAGTCCTCCGACAGCACGTTCTTGGTGCTCATGTCTCATGGCATCCTGGGGGGAATGTGTGGAACTGAACATGATGAGGCAAACCCAGATGGGCTGCTTTCCTTCAGGCCAAAGCTGAAGGAACACTTGAAGCCAGGATTTTGAGACCAATTGATTCATAGCTCTTGGGAGCTATTTTTCAAATGAAAGAGAAAACAGAAATAATTTTTCTAAAAACTGGTAACTACAAGATGATTTCATTATCACTAGGCACACTGTTGAATGACACTTGAGAGAAAACAAAGTGGTATGTATGTGTGTGTGTGTGTGTGTTTGTGTGTGTGTGTCTGTGTGTTTGTATGTGTATGGGTCTATGTGTATGAAACTAGTTAGAAAGAACATTAAAAAAGAACAAGGGGATTCTGATAGCCATACTGTAGGAGGCACAGTAGTGTGTAGAAAATTGTTGTCTCTGCAGCAAACCATGGGGAACAGTGGGTCAGAGACTGTCCAGCATCTTTGGGAGTCATGTCTTCACAGTCACCTAAGAACCTGGAGGATGCAGTTTGCAAGACATACCAGAGAAGGACTTCATTGTTTTCTGCTCTTCAACCTCATGTATACGTCTTTTGGTGGTATTAAGTGATTTGTGGGCCTGAGGCTACCTTTGAATGATTCTACCAAATCAAGAATCCCTAAGAAACAATGATCCGAGGGAATGTTGTGTGCTCTCCCATATTTTACATGATCTTAGATGTGATGTGAAAACAGATTCCTTCCCCCTCCCACACCCACGTTTTTAAAAATTGTACTTTTCTTATAAGTGTTACAATTTAAAGCCAAAGGCATACCAAATATTAAAGCAACACAACATAAGGAATCCCATTCACCACACACCATTTAAACACAAATGATGGATTCTGTTATTTATCAAACCCATTTAATGTTTTGTGTAGTGTTTTCATGGATTCCAGGAATGGCTTCCCTTTCTCAAATGATCAATTTCAAGTCTTATTCTCCATATTTCCCATCTGATTCCACTATGAGCAGTGCCATTGCATGCCCTACTAGAACTGTGGATACCCTTTAAAACAAGTAGAAGATGATAGGGTGGGACTCATTACGTCTAATCTTGGGGAACACTGGTTAGTATTTCACTTCTAGGTAATTATCTTAAGGAGTATACATTTAACCATTTTTAATTTGTATATTTTTAAGTCTTATTTTTTAAAACCAGTTTACTGAGGTATGATTGACATATATAATGTTACATATATAATGTATACAACTTAATGAGTTACAGATAAGTATGCACTCCTGAAATCGTCACCACAATCTGTGCCACAAATATATCTCTCTCCTCCAAAAGATCCTTCCACTTCTCTGTTTATTATTATAATTCCACGAGTGCATGTGAAAATAACACTTAACATAAAATCTACCCTCTTAGCATATTTTAAGTTTACAATACAGTATTGGTTACTATTGGCACCATCCTGTACAGTAGATTTTTATCACTTTTTTCATCTTCTATCACTGAAACTTGGTGTGTGTTCATCTATTTTGTTTATTATATGGTGAAAGACAGCATGGCATAATCTGCAAACAACTTGGGAGCCTAGTGGCCATTTTTTGTTGCTTACTCACTGTGGTAATATGAGGGAGTTTCTTCATCTTTTGGAGCCTCTATTCCTTCCTCTGTAAAGTGGGATAATTCCAGTTATTTCTCAAGCCCCTATAAAAGCCAAGAGAATAAACACAATGTTTGTAGTAGAAAGTCAGTCCCAAGAATCAAAATACAATCACTACACAATCTCTTGCAATGCTTACAAACTGCACCTTTTGATCAACTGTTGCTAGGTTTTTTGTTGACTTTATGCGGAAAGTGGTTAAATGTAAGGTTGTAAACATGTCGTCTAAATCTGTAAAGATAATTCCCAAGCTATGCTTTTATTAAAAAAAAATCCTCAAAACAAAAATGTAAACAAAAAATAGTGAAGGTCATAGCCCAAGGCATACCCATCTGTATCATCATAGATAACGTGTCCAGGAGAGACAGCACAAGGGGCTCCATCTTCATCACACAACTCATCGCATGCTTCCAGAGATATTCCTGGCGCTGCCACCTAGAGGAAGTATTTTGGAAGGTCAGTGTCTCTTTCTTTTCTAGTCATTCACTCATTTGTTCAAGAAGAATTTGTCATGATTCACCTTTCACTTCGCAATTACAATCTTTGTCAGTCAAGTGAAGGTTGAGAGATACCTAGTTTCTGTCATTCAAGTGTTTAAAATATGCTTTAGGGAAAAACAGTTCCAGGAGATCAAAGTAAAACAAAATAATGTCAACCATAATCTTTACGTATTAGGCTATAAGTTCTTAAGTTTTAGAGAATGAAAAATATTTTGAAATAATTTTTATTACTTCATTTATGAAATGAATAAAAACTGGGTGGTCTACTAGGTCATTGGGTCCATCCTGGTGACAGAGGGGTACATGAGGCATGCATGCCGTTAGCCTATCTAGGACTCACATTTTCGTGGGAGATACAGATACTGAAAATGTGGGTTAATCAACAAATAAGTGTTTACAGACTGTGATACGATCCATAAAGGAATGTGAGAGGGAATAAAGAAGTCGATCTTTCAATGGAGAATTGCAGAAGGAAAGGCTTGCTCCTCCTTGCCCAATTTGGGACATTCCTTATTCCCACTTCTTCCTATGTTATTTTTCTCCATAGTTCTTACCTTCCTGCACTCGGCATATATTAATAGTTTACGTATTTGTCTGTTATTTTACCCATATTTACTTTCTAACATGAAAACTTCAGGATGATGGGGATTTGCTCAGCACCCCAACAAACCTGGCATACAGTAAATATTCAATTAATCTTTGAATAAATAGATGCATAAATGAATAAAGAGAGAATCTATTCTATTTAATCTAAATATATTCTATTTTTTAAAGAGAAAACAGGATTGGTATTAACACAGTATAGTGTGGTTGTTTATAAAGTAAAACCTGTAGAGAACAGTATGACTCCTGTGGGAAAAGAAGAATACACCTTTATTCTGGCATTTAAAGAAGAAAGCCATCCAGGACTGGCGCCGCGGCTCATACCTGCAACCCCAGCAGTTTGAGAGGCCGAAGAGGGCCAATTGCTTGAGTCCAGGAATTTGAGACCAGCCTGGGCAACATGGAGATACCCCGTCTCTACATAAAATACAAAATTTTGGTGGGCGTGATGGCAGGTGCCTGTAATCCCAGCTATTTGGGAGCTAAGGTGAGAGGATTGCTTTAGCAATGGAAGACAAGGTTGCAGTGAGTGGAGATCATGCCACTGCACTCCAGGGCAGGTGACAGAATGAGACCCTATCTCAAAAAATAAAAAAAGAAAAAAGAAGGAGTATGAGAAGATTGCAGCATAAATTGAGACAGAGTTTCTGTGAATAGAGACCTAAGAAGATAATTTTTTTAGGATAATTAGGAATTAGACATTGTACTTTCAAGGGTATTCTTAGAAAAAAGAGCTAAAAATTCTGGATTTAGGGTAAGTAGCATCTCAGCATCTCATCAATTGGTTCATCCAAAAGACTACAAGATCAGCTTGGTGGTGAAGTGAAAGTTGTTCAGTGTTCAAGTCTCAAAGTTAAGGTAATGAGACTTAATTCTCATTCAGTGGAGGAATCAGTCTTGGTGGGAGTTGTAAGTATAGAGCCATTCCCTATCCTGGTCTCATGAACAATTTCCAAGGGATAACTGATTGTCTGATCTGTAGGTCAGAAATGGAAAACAGAGGAAATGAATGTTGAAAGGCTTTGGATTAGACATGAGGTATTTATCTTGATGTAAAGGGTACAGTCTGACATGGAGTGTCAATTCTAAGAGGTAGTGTACAACGTTGAGAAGACAGAATACCCATGGGCTTGGTCCTATGAAACCTGCAAACTCTCTTCATTCCAGGACTTTCCTGGTTCATGGTGGAAGATGCTTTCTGAGACTTGAAAAGAGTCGTATCTCATCTATAGCCTACTTTCTTTTTCAGGTTCAGCAAGCATTTGAAAGTCCGGAGGCAACAGTCCAAATGCCCACCATAGAACGAGTGTCCATGACAAGATATTTCTACCTCTTTCCTGGCAATTGAAAATGGTTAAGCATTGAGAGTTGTTGGTGGTGTATGAAATAAATGAAAGTGTGATATTGGAGGTGAGTTCCGATGACCAATGACAGTTGAGTACTTGGATGGCCAAATTAGTGTACTTTGTTGATGTAGTCTGGTGATTGATTATCTGTTATCTTTTATTCGATTTTTTTTGCATTTGGGTTCCCCCAACTCTATAATTAATCAGGCAATCAATCAATCAAGGACGTAAGGAAAACCAAGGCCAAATGAGATAATAAAAAACCCAGGGTAGCACTTATTAAAATAGAAACATACTCCTGCATCCATTACTATTTATATTCATTTACATCTCATACTCTACCTTTTTCTCTCCTTTTCTTACACACACACACACACACACACACAAACACATACTGAGTTACCAAACATTGCATCAATCTGAACAAAAATGAGAAAACAGAGGCACTAACTCTGCAGAAAGCAGTACTTTGATTTTCTGAGTGAGGATTTCACAGCAAATACCACATTACTGGTGTTCAGGTACCCTTATCAGACAGTAGAAAATAAACCCTACAGTGTAGAGTTTGTGTTGATCCAGTCTCTCGTTCTCAGAATGTTCTCATAATGCAGATCACAAATCACTGAGAGACTGTTTTCAGACCCTCAACCCTTTCCAGAAGTTCCTTCAAGCTCTCGTGTTAATAGATATACTTTTATTTTCGTTCTTTTGATAAAAATGTTATAGATTGGGTACATTCAATCTGGACCAAATGACTACATTCTTCACTCATAGCATCTTCATTTAACGCTATATTATAATCCTATTATTAATCTCCATCTCAGATACATAATTAAAATTATATTCTATACTCAACTGTGTAAAGGTTATCTCAATACTTCCAATATTTGCCACATCATCTTTTACTCTTGGTTTCTGACACTACACTCCAGTCACAATATTGTATCATTTCAGCATAACAGCTTTCAGTGCCTAATCCATCCAATGGGGCTATATTTGGGCATTGAGTTGTTTGTTTGACTAACATTTGCAACATTAACCATGCACCAGGTTCTGTTCTAATTGGAGTATGCCAATTAACAAAGTAGATAGATTCCTTACACTCAGAAAGTTTATATACTAGTGAGGAGAAGCATTCTCTGAATACACAAATAGGTAAATATATCACAAGCCGAAACACAAAAAATAAAATAAAATAAAAGGCTAAGAGGAAAAATAAATGATGATAAAGGAACACACAAAATGATGGATGCTGTACTCCTATAGATATTTCACTCAGGAAAGACTTCCTTGAAATAATGAAATGAGAACAAAGAATGGACAGAGTTGGAAAGTGAACCATATGGTTCTTATGCAGGAAAAGTGTCCCAGCACAGAATACAGCCAGTGCAAATGCCCTGGGATAGCAATGCACTAAACATGTTTAAAGAACTGCAATGAGACAGTGTGACCAAAAGAGAACATGAGTGGGGAAAATGGCAGAGACAAATTAGGAGAAGCAGTGGGAAGCCAGATCTCATGGTTCTTGGTTATCACATGGTAAACCTTTAAAAATTACTGTCTCACTGAGACAAGAAGCCTTTCTAGTGCTTTAGAAAAGAGAAGTAACATAATTTTACTTAGGTTTTAGGTTTTACAAAGATCACATTTCAGTGAAAAGATTAACAGATCACAGATGGAAGTCAAGGGAAGTGTCAAGAGCAAATGGAAGAGGATGGAAGAAGAATCATGATGAGGGATGGGATGAAGGCAGCAAGGGGTAACCATCTTGACCTTCTGTTCTTTCTCTCCCCAGCAGGAAACCACAAGCAGCCCAGCCCTCCTTTATCAACTTCAAGAAACACCTTTACTAGTACAGATTGAATGCTTAACATTTTGTATTTCAATAAAGGTGAAGACAAATGAACTGTGTCTTTTTCTTTTTTTAATAGAGAATATAATTTCACTGAAAATGGTGGGTGAGTCTAAATGAAGTGGAAGAAGCTAACTGGATTTTTGATCTTTATACCTCATGTAATATCTGATGAAGAAAACTGACTGTGACTTAGCCCCAACAATAGGATGAAAGAAGATGATGCCGAAAACTATAGTGACGTAGTGCGCCTCATACCCATTAGAATGATTCCCATCAAAACAAACAAACAAACAAACAGAAAATAACAAGTGTTTGCAGGGATGTAGAATAATTAGAACCCTGTGATCTGTCGTTGAGAATTTCAATTGGTACAGCTACTGAGGAAAGCTGCATGAAAGTTCTGCACAAATTAGAAGTGGAGTTACCATATGATCCAGAAATTCCATCTATGGGTACGTACCTAAAATAATTGAATGCAGGGTCTCAAAGATTTATTTATACACCCACATTCATAGAAGCATTGTTCACAATATCTAAAATGTGGAAGCCACACAACTAACCAATAAATGATAAATGGATAAACAAAATGTGGTATACACTCATAATGGAATTTTAGCCTTAAAAACAAAGTTCTGACATTTGTTACAATATGAATGAACCTTCAGAACATTAGGCTATGTGAAATAAGGCAGCAACAGAAAAACCAACACTGTATGATTTCACTTACATATGAGGTACCTAGGGTCTCAAATTCATAAAGACAGAAAGTAGAATGGTGATGGTCAGGGACAGTGGGTAGGAGGAAATGGGGAGTTACTATTTAATGATCTAGAATCTCAGTTTTACAAGATAAAGAAGAATTCTGGAGGTAGATTGGGGTGACTGTTATGACATTATGAATGTATTTATTATCACCAAACACCACATGTAAAAATGTTAAGATGGTCAATTTGGGGGTATGTTTTTGTTTTGGGTTTTTTTTTTTTTTTTGGAGACAGAGTCTCCCTCTGTCACCCAGGCTGGAGTACAGTGGCCCAATCTCACTGCAAGCTCTGCCTCCCAGGTTCAAGCCATTCTCCTGCCTCAGCCTCCCGATAAGCTGGGACTACAGGCACCTGCCACTACACCCAGCTAATCTTTTTGTATTTTTAGTAGAGACGGGTTTTCACCGTGTTAGCCAGGATGGTCTCCATCTCCTGACCTCGTGATCTGCCCACCTTGGTCTCCCAAAGTGCTGGGATTACAGGCGTGAGCCACTGTGCCTGGCCGGGGGTATGTATTTTTACCACAATAGGAAATTGGGAAAAAATGGTATTAATTGGAGGTGAGAAGAGATGGAGTAAATTGCACCCAGGAAACTCTGATCAACTTACACAGAGGAGAATTAAGCTACTATGCAAAATTGATGAAAGAAGAAGTGAGAGTTAGGTATATTATTATTTCAAAATGAATCAAGGAAATAATTGGAAATCACACTATTATCAAATATAAGATAGAATAGGAGAGAGAATTCGCAGTGTGAATGAGCTACATCTCATTTTTCATATGAGACAGTTAATAGCATTGTTTGTAATTTTTGTATCATGAAATAGATAAAACAGGCATCACTGGGTGTTCCAAAGATTGTTAGCAAAAAATAAAGCAAATAACAGAGAAATTACACCTAGTTTGTGGGACCAAAGATGAAAAGCATAAAAATCTGATTTTTATTGTAGTGTTTTCTGTACTACTGACAAAACTTTTAAAAATTGTAATCTATCCACATTTTAAATAGTATACAGCCATCAAAAATCAGATAGTGTTTCATGTGTTGATTTTTTAAAATGTTTGTCACACATTGTGAAGTTAAATAAAGCAAATTATCAATAATATAATTTTAAGATACTGCCACTATAGAAAAAACAAAAAACAATCTGTAGGTAATTATGTGTCTGTTAGTTATCTATTGTTGAGTATCAAAACACCCCAAAATACAGTGGCTTCACACAAGAAGCATTTATTATTATTACAAGGTGGCCAGTCAGCTGAATGTTTCTTTTTGTCACTGCTAGGATTGTGTCTGAGATCATCTGTGTGTAGGGTAGGCATCTCTGCTGACAAGGCTGGGATACCCCATAGGTTGGGAAAACACTTGGCTGGAGGCTGGCCTAGGTTGGCCTTGGCTGGGATGACTGGGCTCTTCTCCACATGAGGTCTCTATTCAGCTAGCAATCTAGCCCAGGCTTATCCTCATTTAGCTTCAGGTGTTCAAGAGGAAGAAGGGCACAAGGATTTGTAAAACTCAGACTGGAAACTCCTTCAGATCCCTCTGCTCCATCATGCTGGCCAAAACCAACCTATAAGGCCAGTTCAGAATAAAGTAAAGGCCAAAAAATGCTAGGAGGCCATTGATTAGAGCCATGGATAAGATCAGTATTGCATTAAGTGTTTTGTAAAATTATTTAAAATATTACACACAGATACAAGCTAAACGTATCGTTGTGATTACCTTGCCATGTGAAATTAAATAATCTACATTTTTCCATTTTATAAACTTTTCTGTTGTTTGATTTTAATGGCACACATATATCTGTTTCAAAAATAAGTGAAAGAGCCTCTTGTTCATTTAATGAACAAAAATACATTGATCTTGTGGAAAAACAACATCCCAATTTAAAAATGAGTGGATCAGGAAAGAGAAGAAAAGAGATCACTTATGTGAGTTTCTCAAATAGTGAAGGGAGTATCACCATTTGGCAGTCTTCAGTTAGCCTCTTTCCCTTAACTTCCAAAATCACACTTCCGGGGTTGAGTAAGTATCAGTGAAGTAAAGACTCCTGACCATTTAGAGGCTGATGGCATCAGACAGACAAACAGAGATTTAACTTAATTTATTAACAGTGTTAAAAATAGACAGGAAAACAGAACACAGAGACGGGTTCTCATGCAAGTGTACATGATTTCATTCTGTTCACTTTGTTATGTCAAAAAGAAGAAAACACCTTCTGCTTCCTATTTTCCAAAGGAAAGCAGTTATACACGAGATCAGAGTCTAATTTTATCTTGGCAAAGAAAAAGAGAATTTGAGGACTGGGAATTTTCCATTCAGGGTAATATCAACAAGCTGGTCCACTGAGAGGAGAGCAAGCCTGTTGAAATTGTTTTTGCTTTCACAGCTTTTTCCTGTCCGGGGAGCAGGAGAAGCCATGGCTGGTGAGTGGCTTCAGTTTTTCTGTTGTTTATGGCTGTCCTTTGAGAACGTTATATTCAAGGGAAAGAAGAAGGCAGAGTGGAGGGGGTCTCCCAAAAGCTAACTATTTTACTCTGGGTATGGAGGGAGATATGTCAGCTTCCGGCACAGCACTAAAAATGCAAACCAAGTGTCTTCATTAATATGTTACAACTTCTCAAATGAAAGAGAAATGTAGAAACACCTGGATTTCTGTTCTTAAACTTTTCCTTTGATTTTAGACTCTTCTTTTAACTCATACTGACCCGAAATTCTCACCCATTTTATAAGTGTTCTGTTACGGTGAGGGTGAGAAGCCAGGCGGTTGAACAGGTAACTTGCATTTCCTCCACATTTCTGCTCTCTGTGTGAACTTTCAATTACAGCAGCAAATGGGTCAGCTACAACATGTGTGCTCAATCTGCGCATACCGAGCTTCCCTGCCAGCCTTGATAAGGGAAACAAAAAAGGTGTTATTTTACAGATGAATGCATTTATGCTACACATATTGAATGTAATGTCTTTTCAAACTAGTTATTGATAAAAGTGAAAGAAAATGAAGAGATCGTAGGAGATGTAAAGACTAAACTGAGTCAGCTGTCACTAAGTTCCTTAGTGAATTCACTTTGCTTCCCTGAATCTATTTCACCATCTATGAAAATGGAGAGAATTGAACAAGACAGGAGCTTCTCCACGTGTGGTCCTTGCACCAGAGGCTTTGGCATCACCTGAGAAATTGTTATAAATGAAAATTCATGGGCCCATTCTCACCTATCAAATAAAAATTATTTGGACTAGGATGCAGGAAGCTCTGCTTACTAAGCTTTCTAGGTGATTCTTATGCACGTTAAAATTTGGGAACCACTACCCTAGAATGGGGATCTAAAGTTCTGTCCATATCTAAGATTCTATCATTTTCACAGATGAGAAACCATCCAACGGTGTTCTGGTCCACATGGTGAAGTTGCTGATCAAGACCTTTCTAGATGGCATTTTTGATGATTTGATGGAAAATAATGTGTTAAATACAGATGAGATACACCTTATAGGAAAATGTCTAAAGTTTGTGGTGAGCAATGCTGAAAACCTGGTTGATGATATCACTGAGACAGCTCAAATTGCAGGCAAAATATTTAGGGAACACCTGTGGAATTCCAAAAAACAGCTGAGTTCAGGTGAGTATTGTGGGGCTAACAGCTAGTAATTCATTCTTATTCTTTCTCTACTCTTCTTATTCAGTTTTTGTCTTCTTTATTTTTCCTTTCTCCAAGTGGAGAATAAACTATGCCCATCTTAGGACCTTCTTCACCAATCTTTTTTTTTTTTTCTTTTTTTTTTAAGACAGAGTATTTTGCTTGCTGTTGTCATCCAGGCTGGATGGAGTGCAATGGTGCAATCTTAACTCATTGCAATCTCCACCTCCCCAGTTCAAGCAATTCTTCTGTCTCATCCTCCTAAGTAGCTGATTTTATGGGCATCCTCCACCATGCCTGGCTAATTTTATTTATTTATTTATTTATTTATTTATTTATTTATTTATTTATTTATTTATTTTTTAGTAGACACAGGGTTTCACCATGTTGCCCAGACTGGTCTCAAACTGCTGATCTCAGGTGATCCTCCTGTCTCAGCCTCCCAAAGTGCTGGGATTACAGGCATGAGTCACTGGGCCTGACCTCCTGTCTATCTTATTTAATGTCACAAAATACCTTGATCATCCCCAATTACTTTTACACTGCTGTATACTTTTTTCTTTAACAATACTCACCATATCACTCCATACAATTTACTTATTCATTATATTATTATGTCTCCCTCTGCTGAAATGTAGACTCCACCATGTGGGGGGTCTTTGTCTGCTTTGTTCATGAATATATCCCAAACACATGGAAATGATACCTGAAACATAATAGGTGCTCAGTAAATATCTGTTAAATAAAGGAATGGTGTTGGATACATTAAATTCAGTGATAGCCTTTAGCTATTCTGGGCTACTCTGGTTGCACAAAGTGGACGTTAGAGTCATTCCCAGATACAGAATGTACAATAGGGGATATCTATTATCTTTTGCTTAGCTGTGGCTTTGCCCCAGAAAGAAATGTCTGGAAATCTAGATTTCTATTTAAGGAAGGAATAGGGAATTCATGGGTCAGTGGGGTATAGATGTTTCCTTCTCTCTGGAACATGGGTTGCTACACTTTTTCTTTGAAAGATAATTAATATTTTAATCTTTCTGGACCATGTGGCCCCTGTCATGACTCAAATCATCTATTGTAGCTCACAAACAGCAATAGACCATAAGTGCATGATGGGTGTGTTGATGTGTATCCCAGTATAACATTATTTATAAAACTGGGTGTTGGGCTGAATCTGACCCATAGGCCATGGTTTGCTGATTCCTACTCCAGACTGTAATACATAAATAAGTATATTCCCAATTCTTGGATATGCATCAAGAAAAGGCCAGTGAGCCAGGATGTTTAGCCATAACTTCTCCCCAGAGGTGGCATTTCAGTACATACTTGAACTGTGGGGAAGGAGTTGTGCCAAACTCTGAAACAAAAGTGTTCTCTAGAAAGGGGAAACAAGAGCAAGGACCCTGAGACAGTAATGCTCTTGCTGTGTAAGAGGGTCACAGCCAATCTGACTGGAGAGTAGGAAATTAGAGGGAGTATAAATGGAGCTATTAAAGAGACAGGCCGGGATTTTATTTGCAATATAAAACGTTGCAGGGTTTTGTTTTTGCTTTTTTTTTTCTTTTTTTGGAATCTTTTTTAGACAACTGTTTATTAGCAGTCGAGGATCCTTACAAATTCCAGGAGTGTTGCATAGCCTCTGTTCTTCCTGGCCATCTATTACAGTTAACATCTATTTCTAAAACAAGTGCTTAAACTTGTGTGAGTATTAAAGAATGTTTTTATGGAAGCTAAGTTTTATCTTAGTTTACATAAAATAAGTTGACATTAAAAAGCAGAAGTAATATGACATATGATAAATTGCCCTGAGTAAGAACTTGGTACTCCCTTTTACCAAAATGTAAATAAGGTGTTTCCAACTGAGAGTTTTTTAAAAAATAAAGGAGCTTTTAATCTCCCACTTTTCTTTCTCCATCTCTTTCATTTTTCCTTTCTTATCATCTGTTTTATTTTCTTTCCCATTGACATTCTTTTTCTTGTTTCTGTTTTTTCCTTCTCTCTTTTTTTCCTCTGTTCTTTTTCTCCTTCTTTCCTTTTACTTTCTTCCCTCCGTACTCTCAATTCTCCCTTTAATTTCACTGCCAATTTTGAAATCATTACATGCTAATTGAGCCAAGTAGGTTGTAACTGCAAGGGCATGTCCTAATGTCTACAGCAGAAAAATGATAAATGATGCATCCTGCCTTCATTTACACTACCTTAGAAGCTGTTAAACGAGGAGTGATAGGATAAGCGTCGCATCACAAAGGCCAGTTGAAAGCGGTTTAAATATTTCAGTTAGAAAAACAATAGCTTTTAGACTGGGTTTATGGCAATAGAGCTGATGAAAAGTTGTTAAATTTGAGACCTAGTTTTGGCAGCAGAATCAATGCAAATTGACTAATGGATTGGATATGGGATGTGAAAGAAAGGAAAGAATTAATAATGACTAGGTTTTTGGCTTGGCAACTGGGGTGTATGGTGCCATTTACTGAGTCAGAGAAAACAGGTGTGCAGGGGACACAGATTTGAAGGAATGCACAATATCAGGGTCCTGTTTTGTATGCTTACTTTGGAACATGTGGTACCTCCAGTGGTGGATGTTGAATAGGCAAATGGATGGGCTCACAGAGAAATCTGGACTGGGAAAAATCTGGAGATTCGTCAGTATGTAGATAGTTTTTAAGATATTGAGACTGGAAGATGCCACATGGGAAAGAGCATTGATAGAGAATAACAGAGTGTCTGGCATAGAAAAGCACAACTTTTGGAGGCATTGTGGAAGAGGAAGAACCAACAACTAAGACAGACAGAGTTAGGAAGAATGGCTGGAAAATGCAGCATTACAGAAGCCTAGAGAATGCCATGTGAATGCTAAGAAATCAACATATAATCAGTGGTAGTTTGATAACTATATTTTATTTAAGGATTGAGGATAACAGCTGGATTGGATTGCATACAAAAATCATAAGACAGAAAAATTGGAAATAGCAAAAAACAAAATGATTTTCAGGCATTGTGTAGAGAAGTAAAGTAGTGATATGGGCCAATAATTGGCAAGGAAACAGGAAGGTTTTTTTTAAAAAAATGATATATATTAAGTCATGCTGCTGTCAATAGGAATAAGTCTGTGGGAAAAGAGGAAGAGAATGAATGATGTCATAGAACCTGAAGCTGAATAAATACCTGAGAAAAACCCTTGTTGGTGGGAGGGGATGGATTTGAGAGCTCAGGTAGAGGCGGTGATCTTAGATAGGAGGAAGGACACATGTTTTATGTAGCCAAAGAGAAAGTAGAGGAGGTGAGCAGAGATGTAGGCAAATTAATGGATTTGGTGGTTAAAAGATGAAATATTTCTTACCCAAAACTATGAAAAGAAATAGAAGGTTTGTTGCCCTAAGGGAACAAAGAACCAGGGGATACCTTGTAGCTATTTTCAAGTATTTGAGGATAACTATTCACTAACAGAATTTATAAACTAGCAATCTTGGTAGATACTATTCTAATATACTGGAAATACAAAGATAGAAGACCACCTTTTCTATCCTAATTAAGGTTATAGTACAGTAAACACAATTAAAGTACAATGCAATAGTTGTTTATGTTGAAGGTATTTTCATGTAAGAATGAAAAAATAGGGAAAGACATGTTGGTCATGGAAGAATTCATGGGCTTTTACAGGGAAATGAATTAAATGTTTTCTGTATGATTCTGAGGTGGGAAATACCTATCAATACCTAGAAGGTACACAGATTGTAATACACATAACTGTTCAAGAATGCCTTGGAATGTTTTGAGTTCCATGAAAGGGGAGATGTCTCAGAGAATGGTAATAATAAAGAAGGGATATTTCAAGTGACATGAAATAGCTGAGTACTGATTCCACTAGGCTAGATAAACATTACACTTCCTTCTGAATCTTAGTTTCTGTGTTTATACGATGCTAATGTGTTGGGTCTGAAAGATAAGTTCATGCTGTGAGCACTAACAAAAACACACAAATTGATAACCAGGTCAGTAAGAAGCAGAAGGAAAATAGGGATGTACTCAATATTTTTGCTTTAGGCATTTTAAATATGAAGCAATTTTCTCATTTTATGAAACTTTTTCATGGACTGGCAGTAAGCAGTTTTGAGGAATGAGAGCCTAGCAAAAGGATCTGCAGTGTTGCAAGGCAGCAGACATTACTGCTTACTATGCCACAGAATTTTTTTCTCTCTTTCAGCTTTTCTGGAAATCCAGGGTGCCCAACCCAGTGGCAAGTTAAAGCTTTGTCCTCATGCTCACTTCCATGAACTAAAGACAAAAAGGGCAGATGAGGTGATATGCTTTGAAATACGGAGACACAAGATTACTCATTCAGACAAGACACTGGGGACTTACTGGAATGGTTTAGCTCTCGTCACAAAGGCCTTAAGATCAGGAAATTATCTAACCAATTGGTCTTCACATTACATTTTCTGTTTCTTCCATCTTATTTTGGGACACAGTCTAAACTCTCCACCACCTAACTTAAGCCAACTTCATACAGTGAACACTTACACCACATACATGCTTTCAGTCTGGTTTTCTGCCTCTTTCCTCACGAGGGTGTATTTTCATGCAGAAACTTTGTGTCACTTACTCTATATTTATATTGGCCTGTTGTGTATGAACTTTGCAGGCAAAAGAGAAAAGTCCTGGGGAAAGTCATTCTGTGTGTATTAATTGCAGATATATCCAGTGATGGAGAAAGAGAGGCGAACATGCCTGGCCTCAACATCCGCAACAAAGAATTCAACTATCTTCATAATCGAAATGGTTCTGAACTTGACCTTTTGGGGATGCGAGATCTACTTGAAAACCTTGGATACTCAGTGGTTATAAAAGAGAATCTCACAGCTCAGGTAATGGCTCCAGAGAGAAGAACAAGCTGCTTCCCCTCCACCTCCACCTTTAGACACTTTTCAACCTCTTACCTCTTAATTGGCAGCTGAAAGAGCAAGATGTATGATATTATAGGAATTATATTTTCTCCAGAATAGGATCCCCTGGATTTTAGCCTTCTCTAATGCACAGTCTTATAGCATATGAGTATGCGTATGTGTGTGTGTGTGTGTGTGTGTATTTACAGAAATTCTACGTAGCAGAGTTTTAGTAAAAATATTGGGTCTTTCGATGTTCACAATCTGGGAGACAGCTACTACTTGATGGTCTGCATAAGACAAAAGCTCTGCACCCTGAAATGTCTGATACCTACAGAATTATCTTGTGAGATTTTTACAATGGCATGAGCAAGTGTCTTAATGTAAAGGCAGGTATAGGGGGAACAAATCACACACACACAAATATGTAATGAAACAGTTGTGTTTCTAGCTCTATTTTGCAAAACTTTAGAGAGACCATTTTAAACTAACTTTCTGCTGCTCCATAGTGAATGAATTTCATATTTTTAATATTTGTCAGTTTTATCTTTTAAATAAAAACTTACAAGAGTTCCATCATTAAACATATTATAGCAAAATGGTCCTATTGGTGTATTGTCATCTCACTTGGCCTTCATTTTATTCCATCTCCCAGCATCTTCAGAAACCTAAGGTTTTACTAAAAACCACTGGGCAAGATACTACATAAAAACCCTACTAACTTTAATATTCTATACAGCTAAATTTTCTAGTTTTATGTCAGAACACTGTTTATCTTATAATCCTATTCAGTCTAAACCATCTGATTCCTCAGTGCTGGCTCCTTTTTGTGAACCCTACCCATTATTTGATTACAAACTACATACACATGGAGACTTCCTCGATAGTGACTCAAGGGTCTCTTTCAGGAAATGGAAACAGCACTAAGGCAGTTTGCTGCTCACCCAGAGCACCAGTCCTCAGACAGCACATTCCTGGTGTTTATGTCACATAGCATCCTGAATGGAATCTGTGGGACCAAGCACTGGGATCAAGAGCCAGATGTTCTTCACGATGACACCATCTTTGAAATTTTCAACAACCGTAACTGCCAGAGTCTGAAAGACAAACCCAAGGTCATCATCATGCAAGCCTGCCGAGGCAGTGAGTCCCCAATTAGAAAGCTGTAAATCTTGATTTTGAGACCCCAGGGAGTGGCTGTGCACTTTTAAAAATTAGCCTGGTGTTCATTTTCTTAGGGATGGGCAAGAGAAACAACATTTCAGTACTACTAGGTCCAGTGCACTTCGAAATTGTATTAAGTCCCTACCATTTTTTAAAGAAACTATAAGTACAATGATTGGAAACATCCCAATCATCTGGGACTATGTTGTCAACATGGTTGTTCTAAACTCAAGTGGGGTCTGTTTTGTTCCCAGTAAGTGAGGCGGTATTTCTAGTAGTAAGGTACTTGCATTTTTAAGTAATGCCATGATAAAATATACTTAAGTAAAGATATCAGTGTAAAAGAGAGAGTCTGTGTGTATGCATATGTATATGCGTATGTGTGTATGTGTGTATGCATATGTGTGTATGTGTGTGCATATGTATGTGTATGTGTGTAAATATGTGTGTGCATTTGTGTGTATGTCTATGCATATGTGTATGTGCGTGTGTATGTGTATGTGTGTGCATATGTGGATGTTTGTGCATATGAGTATGTGTGTGCATATGTGTATGTGTGTGTGTATGTGTATGTGTGTGTATTTATAAATATCTCTTCTTTAATTAGACATAATGTCTCTCCCAGATGGTGCTGGGATTGTTTGGTTCACCACTGACAGTGGAAAAGCCAGTGCAGATACTCATGGTCGGCTCTTGCAAGGTAACATCTGTAATGATGCTGTTACAAAGGCTCATGTGGAAAAGGACTTCATTGCTTTCAAATCTTCCACACCACGTAAGTGATTTCAGAGAGAATAATTTCTAAATTTCTTAGTAGGTTTCTAGATAGTAGGCTTGGCTATGATCATATCTTATCACCGAAAAGAGCATTTCTTCTCTAATTACCAGGATATTTTAGGTGGAGAAAAGATTTAAAATGCTGAGACTTTCATAATTAGAAAGCTATAAATCTTGATTTGGGAAGAAACGTTCAAAGTTAACAGGACTTTGGAAGGACTTTGGTGAGCATCAAGACTTGGAATAATCTAACTACAAAAAGTGAGGCATTATTTGATTTTGTTTTTAGAATGTAGCAATGGCACAGAAAGGTATCATTTTCTCACAGTGTAGCTCCACAGCCACTTCCCAGCAATTAAAGAAGCCAACCACTAAAACCATTATACTTGCTCCACACATCCCAGTAACTCTTGACCTATTATTATTAATCTAGTTTCAGGAAACTAGTTAACATTTAAATGCCTAAATGTTAACTAATTTAGGATAGTGAAGTCACTGAATAAAAAATCAGTCCTTTGGCAGGAAAGTCATAATACAATGGAAAAATAGAGAATATTCTTGACCGCTCATGGTCAGAATTGCAGGAAATCTCTTTAACGATCATCCACAATATTATTCTATCAATGATTTGGAGAACAGGAGCAATTTTTAAATACCTCCTTTGCACAGTTCACAGTTCTAAATGCTCAATTTAGGGATTTCAAATTTTAATCAACATAGAAATCACTTGATTTCTTATTCAGTAGTTTGCTTATTCAGTAGATTTCTTATTCAGTAGGTCTGGGGTGGGGCCTGACTTTCTGCCTTTCTTAAAAGCTTTGTTGTGATTAGGGCTGTTGTTTGTGGCTGCATGTGAGCACTGAGGGACTAGAGGACACTCTGAGTCCAGCCTGGGGAATAAATAACTAGAGTAGCTTCCCTTCTATTCATGTAATGTATTCGAGTTTTAATAAGTTTTATTTGAATAATAAGTTCTACACTTACAGCTGTTGAAGGAAGTTAAAGAGGTATATAAGGCCTGGTACAAATTTTGAAAGTATACTTAATTTAGTTTGGGAAATACAATATAATATGCAAAATTGTTTCTTTCTCCTTCCTTTCTTCCTTCCTTCCTTCCTTTCTTCCTCCCTCCCTCCCTCTCTCGATCCCTCCCTCCCTCCCTCTCTCTCTCTCTTTCTTTCTTTCTTTTCTTTCTCTTTCCCTCTTTCTTTCTCTCTCTCTCTCTCTCTTTCTCTCTTTTCCTTCCTCCCTTCCTTACTCCCTTCCTTCCTTCTTTCCTTCTTTCTTTTACATGTAATTGTGTGCTAGGCCTGGGCTTGGTGCAGGACATAGGATGCACAATTAAAGCAGGTATGGTTACTGAACTTCATGGAGTTTGCAGTCAGAAAGGCAGGCACTAACTGTGGGAAAAACACAGTTACAATATAAGAAGAATAAATAATAATTGTCAACTCTGGTAAAAGCCTTAAAAAATATGTGTTCACATTTGAGAAATGAAGGAGTTAACAAATGAAGGGTAAGAGCAGAACTTTTTAGTCAGGAAAGGCAGTGCATATGGAGAACTTACAGACAAAAAAGGAGCTTAGGAGAGGAGGCTGAGTGGCTGGAACACAGCATCAGGAGAGATGCTAGTGGAGAGGCTGGAGAGTGAGGCAGGCACTGAAACACCTGAGGCCTTACATGGTCCTTCATACTAATAGTAACAGGAAATTCTAGTAGGCTGTAAGCAATTAAATGATAAGATTTTTGTTTTTGAAGACCATTCTGGAGGTTCAGTGTGGAATAAATTATAGTACAGCAAGAGTCGATACATGAGGACAGGTTAAATGCTAGCACAATATTGCAAGCCATAGATGATACTGATAGTCTTGGGATGTAATAAGTTGTATCTAAGAAACAATTAGTATACAAAAATAATATGACTAACCACCCAGTGGTTTGGTGAATATATGTCAGGTGAACAAGAAGGTGTGATAGAAGTGACTCCAGCATGCAAGTAAATGGTGGGGCATCAATTAAAACGTGAGTTTTGCAGTAAGTTTTGAAGTGCTTTGGCATATTTTAAGATGAAATGAAGAGTAGAGAGTGGCACAGTTGTATATTTCAGAGGAGAGATTTGCATTCAGGATAAAATTTTGAGAGATGCTGCCCTAAGGATAATATTTAATATCTTAAAAATGGATGAAATCATCTAAGAATTGAGAATCGCATGAGAAGAGGCCTTGAAATGGAGGTTAAAATTACCCTAGAGTTCAATATTAGAGAAATAGGAACCAGCAAATTTGACTCACAAAGTAGAATCAGAGAATAAGAAAGTACACAAGGAGTATGCGTTGTCAGACTTTAATGTGAATGAAAGATCAGGTGAAGGTGAGGCTTGATGAATGACTATTCGATTTAGTAACTTGGAGGTAATGGTTACCTTGGGGAAAGCCATTTGGCAAAGCTGATGTTAGGTATAGGAAGGAGAAGCCTGATAGGAGTGAGCAGGATAAGGGAAATGGAATGGTGAATATAGACCGAATTGGAATTTTGACTTTAAAAAGTAAGAAGAAATCAGCAGCTGGCGGCAAATAAAGTAGTAGTTAGAGAAGTATTGCCTTTTTTTCTAAATTATAGGAGCAACTTGGTCATCTTGAAATGGTAAACAGAAGCAGTCCTTGAAAATATTTTTATACAACATAACAAAAAGTGCAAAAAAAATATAGTATGAAACAACTCAGGATGACATTCCCAGAATCAAGGAATGTCAAGGCTGTATTATTTTTCTGTTATGTAGTTAGTGCTGAAAGGACTTACACTCTTTTCCACTACTTGCAAACCCAGAGGATATCACTTCGGTCTAGCCTACTAGAAAATCAAGGTGATTTATGAGTGAGGAAGGTCCATGATGGCTTTTTCTGGGCCTGGTATGGAAGTTGGAGGTCCATCTTTATTTAGCATTGGTTTCCCTCTCTTCTCCAAAGAAACAAAATCAGATTTTTTTTCCCAAAGTTATGTCTCCAGGAGTCTTCCACATGTATAAAAGATCACATCCTCCAATATTTTGATGCCTTTTATTTGCAGATAATGTTTCTTGGAGACATGAAACAAATGGCTCTGTCTTCATTTCCCAAATTATCTACTACTTCAGAGAGTATTCTTGGAGTCATCATCTAGAGGAAATTTTTCAAAAGGTAGGGTCTTCTTTTATTTTCAATGTTATGCCCCAGAAAACTTTGGAGAACCATTTGTGAATTTTTATAAGAAATCCCAAAGCTCTAATTCATCTTGACAATCCTTCCTGTACTCCAAGTTTATTCAAAGATGGGGTCTTCCAAAATGCTACATAGAACCATTGTGGGTTTTCCCAATAACCTGACTCTGATAGCTTTGTTCACCCAGGGAATTCTTTTTAGAGTAACAATTCATTTGTGAATGTGCTATACCTAAGGAAAAGCTAAAAATATCTTCTGTTTACATTACTTAGCTACAACCTTAATACACACCATGACTTTTCTCACTCCTGAGTCAGGTTTTCCTTTTAGAACATCTCTAAAGGCTTTCTTTACCATTTTAGGTTCAACATTCATTTGAGACCCCAAATATACTGACCCAGCTGCCCACCATTGAAAGACTATCCATGACACGATATTTCTATCTCTTTCCTGGGAATTAAAACTCATAAGAAGCAACTCAGGTAAATATATTCTAGAAGTGGATTTGGGTGCTCCCTGCTTAGTCTATTCAGAAAGTCTGGATAGAATGGAGAATAATGATGGCATGTCAGCTGCCCACTAGTTATAGAGGCTCGTGTTATTTGCCTTTTCTTAGTGACCCCCAGCGAAACCCTGGTTTTATATGACATCAGTCATAGTACAATGGTTGTATAACTAATGGTAGCCCAATAGTGGTCAGCTAGAAAATCCTTTATGTCTAATTTCCCTCAAGGAACTACTCAGAGAATGGGGAATATTGGATTCTGATGTATGCAGAAAGTAAAGTCATTGGAAATGTGATGTATAGCCAATGTTTGTCTCTCTTCACCCAAAAGTCAGTTTTTGTGAGTCATGTTCTCCTCTCTTTGTGATGAGGCTTTCCTGTACCATATGTCCCACTAGCTGCTAAATCTATGCTGAGGCAATGAGACCCTAGTACAGGTCTTCCCATTTGGGGATGACAGATCCGTAGCCCTTTTGTAAAAGTATTTCTCACAGTAGACATTAGTTATATTTACATCTTACCGATAATAGCCAGATTACTCATGTTCTTTTCTTCTACTTTCTCTAGGAAAATGAAGGCATTATGGTGTCTATGAATCTGCTATTAGAAAAGGTCAATTTTTGATTAAGAATATTTTTATACCAAACTGCTCAGCTGTCCACCTTTTCAAATACCAGGCTAAAATCAATCTCATATTTTTGCTAAATTAATGCTTAATAAATTTTTATTATAAAATTGTGCTTGTTTTCTAATTTTGTCATAAATTAAGTCATGCTTATAGGAGAAAAAATTAAGTATTAAAAATCATAAAAAATGAAGAAATAATCATCATCAACCTTTTTAAAACTATTCATAAAAACTCAAGTTTTTTATATAGCTTATTTATTTTGTATATCCAATTTTGTGTGCTTTTATTATATTGTTATAACATTACTACTAGTAATAAAACTATCCTAAATATAACTTTTAAGTTTATAATATTCGTCAGGTATATATAGGGCATACTATTTAACTTTCACCTGACTTTTAGATGTTGATTTCAATATTCATTTATTTTATTTTACTTTTTTTTTATTTCAATAAGTTTTGGGGAACAGATTGTGTTTGGTTACATGAATAAGTTCTTTTGTGGTGATTTATGGTGCACCCATCACCCGAGCAGTGTACACTGTATCTAATGTGTAGTCTTTTATCCCTCAACCCACTCCCACCCTTTCCCCTAAGTCCCCAGAGACAATTGTGTCATTCTTACGGTTTTGTGTCCCCACAGCTTAGCTCCACCTGCTGCTCTGTCTGTCCAGGTGCGAGCTGCAAGTTAGGCCTGATTCTTATCTGTTATTTTCTCTGAAGTCTCCTATTTATTTTCTTTCTTTCTTTCTTTCTTTCTTTCTTTCTTTCTTTCTTTCTTTCTTTCTTTCTTTCTCTTTCTTTTTCTTTCTTTCTTTCTCTCTTTCTTTCTTTCTTTCTTTTCTTTCTTTCTTCTTTCTTTTCTTTTTTTCTCTCTCTTTCTTTTTCTTTTTTTAAAATTTATTTTAAGTTCTGGGATACATGTGCTGAATGTGCAGGTTTGTTACATAGGTATGCATGTGCCATGGTGGTTTGCTGCACCCATCGACCCATCATCTAGGTTTTAAGCCCCGTGTGCATTAGGTATTTGTCCTAATGCCCTCCCCCAACTTAGCCCCCACCCCTGGACAGGCCCTGGTATGTGATGTTCCTCTCCCTGTGTCTATATGTTCTCATTGTTCAACTCCCCCTTATGAATGAGAATATATGGTGTTTGGTTTTCTGTTCCTGTGTTAGTTTGCTGAGGATGATGATTTCCAGCTTCATCCATGTCCCTGCAAAGGACATGAACTCATTCTTTTTATGACTACATAGTATTCCATGGTGTATATGTGCCACATTTTCTTCCAGTCTATCATTGATGGGCACTTAGGTTGATATGATTATGAATATGTTTAACTTTTACTTTTGTCTAGAAAGAGGTTTATATTCTTAGAATGTATTACTAAAAAGTAGAATTACTGGATCCATACACTTAAACTGTTTGATAAATTATTGCCAAAATTTTTTGCCAAATTATATGCATAGAAGAAATTCAAGATAATGACTGGTAGGTAGAGGAATTTTTTTTTAAAAAAATCATTACTGATATAATAGGTAAAAATAGTCAGTTTCATTGACATGTCTTTTGTTATCGACATTATTTGACATTCTAACCACTTTATTTGCTGTGTTTTAGTGAACTGTTAATTTATTTTTTAAATTTTATTTCAAATTTTATATGTGTTTTCCTTATCAATTTGTATAAATCCTTTATATATGACAGTGTATTAGCTCATATAACATTAGGTCATATAATATTTTTAGTTAGTTCTTTGATATTATATTTTCTGTATGATATGTGATGTGGAATACTCACATTTTCAGTAATAGAATCCATTTATATTTTCTTCTGTGTTTGTTTTTATATTTTCAAGCTTAAATATTGTATCACTACCTATAATTTCTTACAATTATATTAAAGATATATTTAAATATCTTATTCTCCTTTAAATTTTATGAATTCATTCTCTAAACAATATGATTTTGCAGTGAAATGTGACATGGGGATATTATTGATTTTTTCCAATGAATTACCAGTTGTCAATGATACACCACTTGAATCATATATATATAATCATATATATATATATATACACCAATTGTAACATTGTCTTTAATATTAATTTATAATGTGTTATGGAATGGGTGTCTTGGACGATATTTAAGAAAAATACTGGACATTGGTATCTACTTTAGAGAAACTTTTACTACGAGGGATTAAAACTCACTCAAACTAGCTTAAAGAAAAAGTTTCGACATAAGCATACAACAGGTAATCTCATATTCCTCCATTATAAAAAGCAAACCACAATTAGGTCTCTGGAGATATGGTCTAGAACATTGAAAATCAGGTAATCATTCTCTTTGATTAGCATCTTCATTGTGTAATGACTCCTTCTGAATCATAAATTTTCAGATTACTAATTATGGTACTTTTAATAAATTAGCTTATCTGACACCAGTTTCCAGGTATGAAGTGGGCGTGCTAGTATCTGACTCATATTGAGCAGGTATAATATTATGTGCATGTAGCACCTCCCTGTTGCACTGCCTGCCACACAGTGGGCAATTGTTTATGGTAGAGATAATTAGTGTTACATTCACCGATTCATCTTTCAGGACTTATGCTGTATTACATTGCTAATTACTGTTTGATCATCCTCTTTAGCCCTTTCTTGTTCTTACTGTCCTTAGTCACATACTGTGTGTGTTTCCAGGTAAATTTTATAATGACTGTATAAGTTTTCTGATAATTAAAATAGGGTTCTAATGGAATTTAAATGTGTACATTTGTTTATCTAGAGCTATGGTTTTCAAATTTATTGTCATGCATTTTTTAATTTTTGAGCAAATGTTTATATTTTTCTTTGTATAACTTCCTCAAATTTCTGAATCAGGATATACCTAGACATTTTGTATTTTGTTACTATTTTGAATAAGAATGTTTTCCTCCAACATTTCTAACTGATCAATGCTGTGGATGTAAAGGAAAAAAAAATGACAGATTCCCTAGATTCTTAAATATATATGTCCGTTTTCACGCTGCTGATAAAGACATACCCAAGACTGGGGAATTAACCACAGAAAGAGGTTTAATGGACTTACAGTTCTAGTTCTACATGGCTGGGGAGGCTGCGGAGGAACAATCATGGCAGAAGGCAAGGAGGAGCAAGTCATTTCTTACCTGGATGTGGGCAGGCAAAGAGAGAGAGCTTGTGCAGGGAACTCCTCTTTAAAAAACCATCAGATTTCATGAGACTCATTAACTATCATGAAAACAGCACAGGAAAGACCCACCTCCATGATTTGACCACTTCCCACCAGGTTCCTCCCACGACACGTGGGAATTGTGGGAGTTACAATTCAAGATAAGATTTAGGTGGGGACACAGGAAAACCATATCAATATGTAAATTATATATATATACATATATGCAGTTTTTGTAAATATCAAATTATATATCCATATTAGCAGCTTTATTGAGCATTCAATTCATGGATCTAGATAATTTTTTGTTTTATCCTTTGAAAATTAATTACGTAAAATTTTATTATCCACAAATTCTAGATTTCTTTCTCACCAATATCCACAGTTTTTATTTTATTTTCATAAAGTTTTATATTTATTATATGTCTAGATTATATAGCCAATTAAAATAATGATAGCGAATATTCTGAATTATTATCTTAATAGGAATTCTTCCAGTTTCCTGATTAAATATATTTCCTGTTGATTTTTAGCTAGCTTTTATATAATTAAATGTATATTTACATTGCTATTTTTCATATGATTCATCTCTCAGTGTTATTTGAAGTCCTCATGTAGAATAGATAGAATAAATGGAAAGTATAATCTTTGTATTTAGAATACTTATATGATCATACTAGCCAGTGGTCTAATATGAAGCAGTGATTGCTTTCTTAGTATGACATCTTTGTAATGTAGGTTTATTTATTTCTTCTACACTTAAAATAATTTTGCTAATAGTTGATTTTGAAATCCCATATTTATATTTATAGAAGGGATTCTCATCTTTCTTGATTTATTTTTCATTATTTCATAGGATATTTTTAATAATACATATTTTTTAGGGAGCTACAAATGATATTTTTTAATAAACCAATAATACTTGAACATGTTTTATACCTGAGTTCACCTATAAGTTAACCTATAAGCACATATAAAGGCCAGCCTGTTTAATCCTTAATAGTTACTATTAAAAACTATCAAAATGATGTAAATTTTTAAAATAAATTACCAATATATGTTTGCATGTGTGTAGTGATTATTTTAACTTTTCATCTAGATGAAGGCTTAGTTATGCAAACTAAAAACTCTTTATTTTGTTTTAATCTTGAGAACACTGGCAATTTTGTAAAACTATCCAAACAGAACTAAAAATTATAAAGAGGGAAGTGAAAATCATCTATGTTCCACAAGATGCCATATGTTCTCTCATTTTCACCTTTCTGTCTTTCTTTGTCTCCTCACATACAAAGACATATACAATGAGAAGCATACTGTACAAGCCACTCTATGACCTGCTTTTCAATTTTCCTTAAAAATAATCACCTAGAATTAAATTGAGTAACAGATATGTGAAGAATAGGTGACATAAATGGAATAAATTCAGAAATCTTCGGGATGACAATCTATGGTGCAACTTTAGGGTGCCATATTTACATAATTTTCTGATTTTTCTCATCCTTTGTCCGTCCCACCTGCCCACTGCCACCAGCTGTCTTTTCTGTCACTCCTCTGTGAGTGCCTGCCTTTCAAAGGTCACCTCTTGGTTCAAGGTGGCTACCGGAACTACAGCCATTACTACTATTAAAAGCATACTCCAGCCAACAAGGAGGAAGAGAGGAAAAAAACACATTTGCCCTCCCTTTCAGGGAATCATTTATGCTTATAAGCCATCAACCAGAATTTAGTAACAGAGCAACCCTTAGCAATGAGATGAAAAGTGACATATTCATTGCATGTTACCACATGATTAGCTAAATACTGGGGATTCTATTAGGAAAGGAAAAAACAATATTGGGTCTCAACTGGCTGCCTCTGCTGTGCATTGTTTCCACATTTAATAGCTACCCAATATTCCTTTTAATAGGTGTACTAGAATTTATTTTATGAATTTAGGTAATTTCTAAATTTGTTATCTTAAGAATTTCTGTAATAAAACTTCCCTTGTACATATATCTTTAAGTTTCTGTCTGATAAAATTATTGGAATAAACTCTCAGAACTGAAAAGAGTCAAAAGCATTAAATTTTAACTTTTCTGTGTAAGGTATTGTTAAGAAAATTGTCCAAATGGGTACTATCTGTGAGCAGAAAGTGACAGGGCCCATTTATCTATAGTTTCACCAATGTGATATATAGTTAATCCTGTTGATTTGTCAAGCCACAAATAAAATCACTTTAAATTTTAGGTATTTCCTTTATAAATTGGTTAAGCATCCTTCCATATGCATATTGGTCACTATACACAAGTTACATGTTAGCTGGTGTCTCCTATTGCCCACAGGTTCTACACATGTTTGCTTTGCACTTAAAGGAACTATCTTCTGGGCTACCTCTCCAAATTCAAACCCCACCAAGCTTTTCCTCTTACCTGCTAGGCACATTCTCACTTTAGAATTTGCTACCATTACCATCACTGCCCAAAATAATACCCCTTCTCATCACCATACTCATATGGTATGCCACTGCACTTATTTCAGCCCTTATTGGCAAAATCTAATAAAAAGCTATCCGACCAAGGAAAAGTAGGGTTTGCAGAATTCCAAACCTGAGATCATAGAGCAAAGTATGAAAGGATGAAATTAAAGTTGATAAATAATTGTTTAATGACTGGTACAGTGCACTGCTGTGTCCTATGTAACTTATCAAAATCATTCTGCTCTTCTTAGTGTTACAGTAGCATTACCACAAAAGCAGAATCAGATTGTTTGTACCTGTATCATTCAGAATTTGATCAGAGAAGCAGAATCCTCTGAAAGCTGTTTCAATGGTCTATGTGAAGCTGATGCTTCTTTGTCTATGACTGGAACCTGTAGGGTACCTGGCAGGGTAAGCAAGAGGTGAGTGAAAATAGACTTGATGGTAAAGAAGCAAGACAACCTAAAACCTGTATGAATCAGCTAAAAACTGAAAGACTGGACTAAACTCATTCCAGTCTCTCACTGTTGCTATGCTTCCAACTTTGGAGATGGGTGTGTTCTGCAGAAGGAGCTAATGTTAAACTCATACCTGGATCTAAGTAATCATCTGATTGAAGAATTGAGGAAGCTGAAGGAGAAAACTGACTGGACCCGCAGGAACGGTGGGCCTGGCTGTTTCTCCAACCAACCACAAGAGTGGCGACAGACCTAAGTTGCAACGTGGCTCGTGTTTTTCACCAGGCTTCCATGTCTAATAAATTATGGTTGCTGCTTTACTCTCATCTTCCAAATCTCAGGAAAAAACAGCTCCTGTGGCCTAAGCTAACCTGGAACTACATATGGAGAGGAATTCTGAGAAACTTAGTTTCAGCTTAGTTAAGTTGACACAATAAAAAACTAAAACATTGGCCTGCATGTAGTACACTATAAATATGTATGTATAAATAGTCATATATATTGATCCACTGACTTCTCTTATCACTTCTACATTTTCTCCTTAGATGAAATCATGTAATTTCATTGTATTCAATGTCATCTATATGTTGCTATATTCCCAACTTTGTATATACTCAATAGATTTGTCTTCTAAGTTTCACATCAATATTTAACAAATTGACAACTGGTATATTTTTGGGACATAATTCCAAAACTGGATTTATATTTATCACGTCTTTCTACTCCTCAATTAACTCTTCCTTCATTCTTCCCACACTTCTTAGTGAGTGATACTTATACAGAACCAAAAAACTTGGAGTTATCCTTGATATCTTTTTCTCCTGCAAATCCCACATAAAATCAGTCACCTAGTTCTGCTAATTTTCTCTCAGTTTCATCCATTTTTCCACATCTGGTGTGGTAGGCCCAGGCTAAGGCAAAAATCATCTCTCAATTGAAGTATGACAAATGTCTCTTAATTCCTTTAAAAAATGCAAGCTCTCTTTTTTTGGTCTGGAAAAATATTGGGGAATACAATGAACAAATTTTGTGATTATAACAGTAATCAAATTAGAGGGATTGGCTAATGGCATTATGTAATGGGATTTTGCTGTACTGTTGAGAATATTCAGTTCTGCTATAGAAGATTAAAAAACAAATAGGATGGATGGAATTCATAAGAAGTGCTAAACATGGACAACAATATGCTGGAAAATAAGCATGTGAGATATAGGCAAAACCCACAGGATAGGTTTATTATATATAATGAAAAAGAAGTAATTTGTGAGACATAGGTAGAATTCAGATGATCTGGTAAAACAGATAGTAAGTTAGTAACCTGTATGACAACCAGAGATAGAATAAATAGAAAATGTGATGGAACAAAAATATGCTGCTTAGATGCAAAGGATGAAAAGACCCACATCTTGAGGATGCCACTTCTTCTTGATCAAGAACTTTATTAAACCTCAATTAGCCACCACTTGTTGACACACAGCATGGTTCTATTCTAGTCCTACCCAAGAAGTTCAATAAGATACCAAGTATGGTTCTATTCTGATCCTGCCCAAAAGTGCAAATAAAACCAAAGGCTGTTCAACAAATGAATTGATGCTACTCTTGCATCAAGCACACTTCTCCTGCATCTCTCTGAAAGAGGAGGTTTGTGTCCTTGGTTCAGGATATCTTCCCTTGGGGCCCTTCTCTGTTCAGACATTAACTCTGGCCCTCATCATTGAACCAGCACCCATGAAGGCTGATGTTTCAAAAGAGAAGCAAGATTTATGCACATTGTGAACCCTAGGACTCAGGGAGTGTAGTCCTTTCACCCTGTTTGCACCTCTCTAAGTGAATTACCTTACCCCAATTCATTCTCCTTGTTTTTTGCTCAGTATTTTAATCAATTTAATAAGCCATGTGGTTTGGTCATTTTAATTTGGTCTGAAAGCCTTTCTGTTCCTCGACCTCTGGGATAGCTCACCAGTTAGTGCTTCCACTGCATCAAGGCAATTTCCCACATATTGCATTCTCAGCTAATGTAGTGTCTTTCTGTATTGAAAGAAGACTTGGGAAGGAGGCAAATGCTTCTCAGCATCATAATACTAAGGCTATCATTTTTCAAGTCAGGTCAAAGTCTAATTGATGGGATAAATTTATATTCCTTAATGAGACTAAACTATGTGTGCTTTAGAGAAAATGTAATATACTTAGAACTGGTGTGTCTGCCCTTAAGTAATTTAGGAAGAAATTCATCTTTTATGTTTACTGTTGGAGAGAATAGGGAATATTCCCCAACCCAAAGGAATAGATTCCCCAGGTTTCATCAGTGTGAGCATAGTCTGGGCAGAAGAAGAAAGTCTAAGGCACCAGACTTTGAATAATTCAAGAAGGAAAAGAGAAATGACTTTTATGATAGTTTAAGTTTCTAAAGAAAGGCAAGTAGAAGTGTTTTTGTTATTGAAAGTGGACCTCTGGAAGAAGACATGGATTTTGAAGACAAACTGAAAATTAAAATTAATTGAAACATACTAGATTCTTAAACTAGTGCATATATGAGCACGCACATACACTCCCACCCCACCCCCCCCACACACACACACTGAGGCATGAGAATAGGAAGTCACACTTTTTTCCTTCCTCTCTGTCTTATTTTCGTTTTACTTTCATAGCCCTTGATTCTCAGAACTGCTTAATCTTTTTCTGAAGTTCAGTGTATTTTTGGTCTGAAACGGCAATTCTCAGCAAAATGACACTCCTATTTTCTGATTATTTCAGAACTAGAAAAGCAAAGTGTTGGCCTTCTGAGATTTAAGAAAAAATCATATTGTTTATTTCTAGTCTCATGCACTCAACCAATCACTCACCTCCACATTTCTGACACTAGATGTATGGGAGTCTTGCCCCACACACCAAATAATTCTCCGGCAGACACTAGCTGGGTTTCCTATAATTCAATTTAATTCTGACACTATCTAGATAGATAATGGGATCTGGATAGTGTCTGATATGGTTTGGCTGTGTTCCCATGCAAATCTCATCTTGAATTGTAGTTCCCATAATTTCCATATGTCCTGCGAGAAACCTGATGGGAGGTAATTGAATCATGGGGGCTATTTTACCCATGCTATTCTTGTGATAGTAAGTTCTCATGAGATCTGATGGTTTATAAGGGGCTTCTCCCTTCACTTGGTTCTCATTCTCTCTCCTGCTGCCATGTGAAAAAACACATGTTTGCTTCCCTGTCTGCCAGGATTGTAAGTTGTCTGAGGTCTCCCCAGAGATGCTAAACTGTGAGTCAATTAAACCTCTTTCCTTTATAAATTACCCAGTCTTGGGTATGTCTTTATTAGCAACATGAGAATGGACTAATATGGTGTCAGATCCCACAAGTTAAAGGCTTATTACCATAAAAATTTCCCCCACTTCAAAGGCCAATTGCAAGTAGTAGGTTATCAACAATACTTCCTCTTAACCAGCTATAAATCATGTTTTGCATTAGTGGCTCACAGAAGTCAGAGAAACAGTTTACTTAGAATTACTGGCTTATTAATCATGGATATAACCAAGGATACAGATGAACAGCCAGAGGAAGAGGTACATAGGGTGAGGTCTGGAAGGATAGCTTCTGTCCCTATGGAGTTGAGGTGCACCATCCTCCCAGCACTCAGATGTGTTCACCAACTCAGAAGCTCCTGAACCCCATAGTTCAAAGATTTTTAGGGAGGCTTCATCATGTAGCCATGACTGATTATAAACTCCATTTGCAGCCCTTCTCTTCTCTTTGAGGAATGGGGGGTGGGGATGAGAGCTCCAAGCATATAACCACGGTTTAGTCTTTCTGGTGACCAGCCCCATCCTAAAACCCACCAAGTCACCTCATTACAACCAAAGATACTTCTATTACCCAGGAAATTCAAAAGGATTTAGGACCTCTGTGCCAAGACCCTACATCAAAGACCAAATATTAGAACAAACAATTAACCTACCACCTTTATCTACAATGTTACTAGGAGCTTTGTCTCAGGAATCAGGGCAGAGACTAAACATTAGAACAAAAGATTCTTTTAGCACCTCTATTGCTCAGAAAATTGCAATAGTTTTAGGAGTTCTGTGCTAGGGACTGGGGTTAGAGACCAATATGTGTATTTCTTATTACTTCACTGATCTTCCCTGTCTGAAGAAAAGTACAGAAAAGAAGATGTTCCCTGAGCATGAGAAAACAGGAGACCAATTTTCCTAATTTTTATTCATTGGGCAGCAAGTGATATCTTCACAGGATAACAAGTGACAGAAAGGAGAGAGTCTGCTAAAGTAATATTAGATATCCCCATCTCTTTTGCATCCTCGCCAACCCTACTCCTGCCTCTGATTCATTCTCGAAACAATAGCCTGAGTGGTCTTACAAAATCTTAAAACAAAAAATCCTTAACAAACCTTTCCGACGCTGCTAACTTCGTTTTATATAATTTGTTTTCTCTGAACCACATGCAGACAAGCAGTTTCTCACCTAAGGGCCTCAGGGCCTCCAGGCATTCACATGTTGTTTTTTTCTGCTTGTAATACAGTAATTTTCCTTTCATTGTCCATTGGGCTAACTCATATGCCTTCTTCAGCCATCATCTTAAGAGGCACTTCCTCAGAGAGGACTTCTCTGATCCTCAGTCTAAACTGGATATCCTGTTATTTACTGGCATAAAAATGAGATTTTAAAAAATCCTTCAATGTACTTGTCACAAATTGTAATTATATATTTACCAATTTTTTTGTTTAATGTCTATCCTTTCCTAAAACTATAAGCATTTATTAGGGTAAACGATCCCCCTTTTATTCTCATCTGCACAGAACCTACCAAATTATATAAAATAGAATTTGTGCTCAGAAATACTTAGGGAATGGAATAAATTCTCAAATAAAGCATATGTTCCCAAAATGTATATGGATTCATCATGTTAAATATACCAGAGATTAGGCTAGATGGGAAAGAAATCACATCATTTATAGATAAGAATTTAAATATCTTTTAGGATTCAAGTTCAAAGTGTTTTATTGTCATGGCAAAAGAGTAAATGACCATGATTAGATGCATTTACTCCATTATATTTTCAAGAGTGTTAAACATTAATCAGAACTTCCAAATAATCATGTTTCTCTCCCTTCTATTTAATTGTGAACAAACTAAGAAGTCCACACCCTATTCAGATAGTTAGAAATAAGCAAAACTCCTTTACCATTAAGTTGGTGTCCTAAGATTATTGTGAATATCTTTTGCCTGAAAGTGAGGCACTCTCCCATAATAGCACCCTTCCCCTGGCTGCATTCACAGACCCTAATGTGGTAAAATTATTTCATAGCAGAGAAGAGCATGAATACGATAGTCCCACCTTATCCGTGTTTTGTCTTCTGTGGTTTCATTTACCTGCAGTCAATTATGGTCTGAGTATTACAGGATTTTGAGAGGGAGAGAAAGACTATATCTACGTAACATTTTTACAGTATCTTCTTATATTTTTTATTTTACTATTAGATATTATTATCAATCTCTTACTATACCTAATAAATTAAACTTTATCATAGTATATGTACAGGAACGAGCACCGTAAATTTAGTGTTCAGTCCTATCATACATTTCAGGCATGCACTGACAATCGTGGAACATGTCTCCCAAGAAAGGTAAGAGGGGAAAACTGTGTTTTCTAAGCATATGCCCCTCCAAAAAGACGAAGAAGAGGCCAAACTGGTTATATGCAACATATTCTTATTTCACAGATTAGATAACTTACTTTCTTTCCCATTATGAGGAGTGAAAAGAAGGAGAGGACAAAGTGCAGAAGGCCTCCTCCGAGTGTTGACTCTTCCTGTGTAGTAGGACTGATGCTTTCTTTGTAGGCCAAGTTACAAATTCAGGAAGAAGGAGACCATGGTTTTGCCAACTTTCTTCTCTTTTCCTAGATATTTTCTCCTCCTCAGTTTATAGTTTAAACACTTCTTCCTGTGAAAGAAGTGACATAGGAAAGTCTATGTCACTTCACCTAAATCCACAAATTGCTACCCACTACCATTTACAAAGAAAGAAAATGAGAAAAACGTAACTTTTAAAATCTAAAGGATTGTAAATTATATGAAGAGGAAAAAAATTGCATAACACTCTACACACAGAGTTAAGAAAAGTAAAATAACGGCATTCAAACATTTTATCCAATTTTATATTAAAGGAAAACATAAAGAAGCAAAAAACCAATACAAGCAGCTTCCTTATGTTTAAGAAAGTAAGTGTGTGTGTGTGTGTGTGTGTGTGTGTACAGCAAGGTTTCTGATTTAGTAAATACTAAGAAAAGCAAGTTAGTCTTTCATTCTTTTTTAAACAATACCATCACGAAATTCTTGTTTTTCATCCCAGTTATCAACGGTTTGAAAGTAGCTATGTTTGGACCTGGACCATTCTCCAGCTCTTTTTGTTTGTATTACCCGTGCCCACCTAAAGGGCGAGCACAGGTCAGAGGACAGCCCCTGCTCCCAGGCCACACCCGCTCCCAGCTGCACCCTTACCTATGGCCTCGCTTGATGATGATGCCATTCTCAGTAGAGAAGGCGTCTAAGGGCAACCCTTGGATGTTCCAGTTCCAGACTTTGGTAGGATTGGACAGGAAGTTATCAACGGCAAAGCCAAGGGAGCAAGGAACCTGAAGCTCCCAGATCTTGAAAGTATCTGGTTAGATAGAAAGAAGTCCAGCTGAGAGAGCAAGTTGTTGCAGGAAAAAGAAAAGTGCACTCATTGGTTAACAAGCTAAAATTAATACCTTACATACACCCTGAAACACAACATTATAATTTCTATTTCTAATAAACTTAAAATCAAAACCACAATGAAAAAAAGTAAATACTACAAATTAAGAAATAAGAAAAAACTACTATTTAGAAATTATTTGCTTCTGGATCCTTCCAACAATCAAAACAATAAACTAGAAGTATTTTGTCCCTTTTCTCAAAACACTTAATATGGTATGGTAGCATAAATACATTAATTATGTTATTATTAATTTAATATGGATTTATTCTACTTTTTCCTTGATATCATGAGACATGAAGTATCAGTTATTATTTTTAAAGTAGGTGAGCATGGCTTTAATTCAAGTGCAAAAATTATAGTTTTTCATCTCTGCAGATGGTAATAAAAGAGTAGGGCATACATTTTTAAAGGTAAAAATAGATAGGATAATTTGAACACAGCAATTAACTCAGCAGCTTATCAGTACGTTTTTATTTTATTTCCTTTTAAGACAACGTTGTTTTCTATATTTGTATGAGAAATATTTAAATTGTAGTTTGTTTAAAGAGGCATTTATTTCAAGTGTGTAGTAAGCGCTGATTCTGCAATTATTGCTAATTAGAGAATTTCCAAATTGCCTGAAGTGTTGAGAACCTCATCATTTTATCATTATTCCTTTCTACTTTTACTTCAAATTTATGAAATGAAAAATATACTAAACTAAAATTAAACTTTCAAATACATAATATTGCTAAACTTTGTCTTTTAGCCACAATATATTACCACATTATAACCTTTCTATGTTTACAGTAGAGTTGGTACAAACTCAATAGTGACAGCTTTTACCTCAGTGACTCATCTATGCTAGTTCATTGGAAACATGTAAAGGTTATTTGTGCTACTAAATTTTGCATCCCCCAAACAAACAAACAAACAAAAAACAGTTTTCACTTCAAATATGAATTTAAAATATATGTTTGAAAATTAAACCACAATCTATATTGTAGCAGGGAGAAGATATTTACTTTAGATAGGACTTTCATTTTTATTTTCACAGATTGTGTTTCATTGTAAAATAACAGTGAAAGTAAATGGTAATAATTATTATTGTCCTTTCTGTAACTTCATGGAGAATCACATAAGGAAAAGTGGTACTAATCAGGGTCAACTTATGGTAAAGTGCTTTCCTTAAAATTTCTAAAAATAGGAAAAATAAGTCAAAATGGTTGAATCAAAGATGGGGAATTAATAAAGATTACTGCGTTCTCCCTTAGAGGATCTCTGAGATTTTGTCCTTATTATCACAAATTGGGCCAGCTCAACTTACATAAAATATAGTCAGATGATATGGCTACTTCATATTTGAAACCAATCCAATTCTCATATTAGTAAATATCTTTAATTATTTAATTCCCAATATTTTAGTAAATGTGGTAATAATTAAGTAGGTCATTTTAATATTAATTCCATTTACTCAGAGAACTGTATGAGATATTGAGGGTTAGGGAAAAGAATAAGAAATGACAGGTCTCATCACATAACATGAAATTTAATGGATTTGTTTATGAAACTACATGAAATTTAAGGTAAACATAAAATTTTATAAGTGAAGGTTGTATGTTAACACCATGGGGCAGTTTTTTATTTGTTTGTTTAGTTTTTAAAAAATGCTTTATTTTCTTCTATGTGTTCAGTACCTGGCATTTAGCAGTCACTCAATACATGTTTGTTTAATCAGTGAGGTTTCACGTTGGAAACAGTTAACTGTATCCATTTAGATTCTTAAAAGACTATTTGGTAAAAGTTTTATTTTCCACATGTCTTATAAAATTAAATTATACTCCCAAATAAAATGTGAAGGCTGGTCAATAATACAGAAAAAGGAGCCATGCTCTTACAAATATCACATAAGGACAAGACACTAAACATTAGTAAGGATGTACTATGTGACTTTCAATGATAATTGTAGAAAGCAACAGGAGTTTTTGAATATTGCATGCCATTCCTCCACTTTTCCCTCATTTTCTATTTAATAAGAGCCAGCTGGCCTTTGTATAACTGTTGTATAACTATTTTGCATAACCACAGATTCTTCTCTTCTGATATCTCTTAACTGTGGTCAGCATTTCTTTGACTTTAAAATTCTAAGATTCCTGTCCATTCAATAGCTTGTTGCATTTTACAGCCTTCATTTTCTAATTCTCACATATTTCTGGAACTACTGTTGTGTGACTTCTCTCATAATTAATTCATGGGAAATGCTCTTGACAGGGACACCAATTATTCATAAGCCAAAGTAAAAGTTAACTTGTTTCAAGCAAATATCACTGCAGACGTTTCCCTCCTATAGTCTCTGTATTCTGAGGCACTTTATTCACAGATTCTTCAAAAGCAGGCTCTTCTCCTGCAACTCACTTTACATTTGGCATTCTCAATTCCTCATTTCTAGCCTCACTTGCGATGCTTTACACGCTTTATCTGGAATATCTTATTTATTTCTAAGGATTCAGTGTTCTTGTATAAGGCTAAGACTCCAAAATCTGTATTTCCTGAGCTCTATAACCATAAACCCAACCCTTCATTCAATGTCACCAGTGGATGTATTACACAAACAACAGGTTCAAATGTGATGTCAACCCGTTCCTGTGTAGCTAATTTGTAATACATATTGATTTCTCCTTGTAGTGAAGGGTACTAGCATCCAGCTCATTGTCAAAGCCAGAAACAGGGAGCTCCCCTTGACTTCTCTCTTATTTTGTATATCCACATCAAGTCAACCTGTAAATCCTATATCTCTCAAAACTCCATGATTTTCATCTTCTTTTTTTTTTTCTAGCTTTATTGGGTATAATTGACAAAAAACTGTATCTATTTAATGTGTATAATAGAATGGTTTGATACAAGTGTACATTATGAAATGATTACCAGAACCAAATTGATTAATATATCCATTATCTAAGATCCTTACCATTGAGTGTGTGTGGGGATCTGGAGAACATTTAAGATCCACTCCTTTAGCAAATTTTAAACATATAATAGTGTATTAACTATATTCATCAAGTTATAGATTAGGTCTCCAGGATTTACTCACTCTGCATAACTGACACTTTGTACCCTTTGACCAACATCACTTTATTTTCCCACACCCCAGACCATGAAGACCACCATTCTACTCTGCTTCTGTAAGTTTGACTTTTTTTAGTTCCACATATGAGTGAGATCATGCAGTATTTGCTTTTTGAGCCTGGCTTACTTCACCTAACAAAAATGTTCTCCAGGTACATCCATGCTGTCACAAATGACAAGATTTCCTTGTGTTTAAGACTTCTTTGTGTTTAAGATTAAGCATGTAAAGCATGGTATTCTGTTGTGTTATATATATATACACACACACATATATATGCACACATATATACACACACACACACACACACACACACACAGCCTATATACAAAGGGTCATTTAACTGGCCAAAAAAAGGCACTTTTGACACTCAGTGTACATTGACCCAGGTTTCTGTATACATACATACACATTTACACACATGTATATATCTTAGCCATTCTAACAGTTGCAAAGTAATATCTCATTGTGGTTTTAATTTGCATTTCCCTAATTAGTAAGGCCGAGCATTTTTTCATACACCAGTTGTCCATTTGTATGTCTTCTTTTGAAAAATGTCTATTCTGCTCCTTTGCCCATTTTTTAATCAGTGTATTTGCTTTCTTGCTATTGAAATTTTTAAGTTACTTATACATTTTGTATAGTAAACCCTCATCAAACGCATGGTTTGCAAATATTTTCTGCAGTTCCATTGGTTGTGTTTTCACTCTGTTGTTTCCTTTATTGTATAGAAGATTTTTGGTTTGATATAATCCCATTTGTCCATTTTCACTTTTGCTGCCTGTACGTTGAGGTCATATCCAAAAAAACATTTCCCAGATCAATATCCTGAAGCTTTTTCCCTAAGGTTTCTTCTAGTATTGTTACAGTTTTGGGCCTTCAATCCATTTTGCAATGATTTTTTAAATAGTGTGTGATAAAGATCCAATTTCATTATTTTTGTATGTGAATATACAGTTTTTCCAGCAGGATTTATTGAAGAGACTATCCTTTCCTCACTGTGTGTTCTTGGTACCTTTGCCAAAAATGAATTAACCATAAATGTGTGGATTTATTTCTAGGCTTTCTGTTTTATTCCATTAGTGTATATCCCCATATGTATGGCAGCACCATACTGCTTCAATTACTTTAGCTTTGTAGTATATTTAAAAATCAAGCAGTTTGATATCTCCAGCTTTGTTTTTCTTGCCATTCTTACGACTTTGGCTATTTAGTTTTTTGTGGTTCCATGTGACTTTTAGGATTTGGTTTTTTTTTTTATTTCAGTGAAAAATGCCCTTGAAATTTTGATAGAGATTACATTTCTGGGTAGTATGAACACTTTAACAATATTGATTCCTCTGATCTATGAACAGAGGATATCTTTGCATTTATTTTTGTCTTCCTAAATCTTCATCAATATCAGAATTTTCAATATACAGATATGTCATTCATTTTATTAAATTTATTGCTATGTATTTTATTCTTTTTGAGTGGTATTTTCAATGAATTTTTTTCTTAATTTATTTTTTGGATAGTTTGTTTTTAGTACATAGGAATGCAATCGATTTTTATATGTTGATTTGTATCCTGTGACTTCACTGAATTCATTTATTAGTTCTAACAGTGTTTTGGTGAAGTCTTTAGGATTTTCTTAGTATAAAATCATGTTATCTGCAAACAGAAAAAATTTACTCTATCGTTTCCATTTTGGATGCCTTTTATTTCCTTGTCTTACCTAATTCCTCTAACTAGGACTTCCAGAACAATGTTGAATTGAAGTTGCAAGTGGGGAAATTCTTGTCTTGTTTTTTGATCTTAGAAAAAAAGCTTTCAACATTCAACATTGAGTATGATATTAGCTGTGGGCTTGTTGTGTTGAGGTACATTTCTCCTGTACATAATGTGTTGATAATTTTTTACATGAAAGGATGTTGCTTTTTATCAAATACTTTCTCTGCATATATTGAGATGATCACATGATTTTCATCCTTCATTCTATTAATGTGGTGTATTACATTTATTAATTTGTGTATATTGAACCATCCATGAATTTCAGGAATCAATCCCACTTGATGACAGTATATCAGCCTTTTAATAGTTTGTTGAATTCAGTTTGCTGGTATTCTGTTAAAATTTTTGTATCTATGTTCATGACAGATATTGGCCTGTAAGTGTTTTTAAATTATTTATCTGTCTGGCTTTAGTATCAGGGTAATACTAGCCTTGTGAAATGAGTTTGAAAGTCTTCTTTCCTTTCTTTTTATTTTTGGAAGACTTTGAAAAAAGATTGATATTAATTCTTTATTAAATATCTGGTAGAATTCATCAGTGAAGCTATCAGGTCCCAGGGCAGGGAAAAAAGAAGAGAAAAGAAAAGAAAAGAAAAGAAAAGAAAAGAAAAGAAAAGAAAAGAAAAGAAAAGAAAAGAAAAGAAAAAAGAAAAGAAAAAAAACTCTCAGCTTCCTTCTCAGGCAGGGAAAAGAGGCAAGCAGGGAAAGTCACTCAGCTGTGCTGCTTCATCTGGGATTTAACTGCTTCCTGTTCCTACTTTCAGGACTAATATCTTTCTCTCCTGGCCAGGTTTATTATCCATTTCTCATTTTATTTATTTGTGTCTTCTCTATTTTTTCTTAGTCTAACTAAATGTTTTAAAATTTTACTCATGTTTTCAACAAACTAGCTCTTAGTTTGGTTCATCTTTTCTGTTATTATTCTAATCTCTATTTAACTTATTTCTACTGTAATCTATCTTATTTGCTTCCTTCTGCTAACTTGGGCTTAGTTTTTTTTTTTTTTTTTTTGGTTTCTTCTTTGATCCATTAATTGTTCACGAATGTTCAATTTATTTCTACTTATTTATACATTTTCCTATTTTCCATTTTCATTGCCAACATTTCCATTAAAGCTAATATTATTTAACTCAAGAATATTCTCATATATTCTTACTGGACACCCTGTCTCTATATGTTTTTCTGCTTTTATACTCTAATCTTTGTCCACTTTCCTTAGGGTAAAATATTTACTTCCAGATTTGATTATAGAGTCTGTCATAGTCAAGCCATGACTTGCCCAGTGTCTAGCCACCTCTTTCTCTCTGATCTCGTCACACTCAATCCCCTTCATCTCTTCATTGTTCTTTCTTTTTCGTGTGCATTCAACATATCTCTATGTGGGATGGCCATTTGATGTGCTTCTCTGCTACCTTTTAGTTTGGGTAACTTCTTACTATCATTTTGTTCTTAATGTCAACTTATTATTTCCTGGTAAAAACCTTCTCTGAAACTCCAAATTAACCTATAGGGCTTTTGGGTATCAGCACCTGTTTTTTCCCTATTATAGCATTTATCACTCTCTGTTTTAATAGTTGCTTAATGGTATATCTGTGGTTATACTAAAAACACAAGGAAGACAATGTCCATTCCTGCATTCATTACTATTATAATGTCTGGAACAATATAGTTTCAATAAACATTTGTTGAACAGATGGATACCTTAGTCACAAGTGGATGAATAAATAAATGTTTTCTTTTCATTAATCTGTACAGAATTATCTAAAATACACATATAAGTATACATGTGAGATTAGTGTAATGAGTATTATACTGATTTATGTATTAAAATGAAATGGAAAACCTTATATGTCTGAGGTATTCTTCTATGTGCTGCAGAAAAAAAAATGAGAGAGGTAATTTATCTCCTCCCAGAATATAAATATTGATTATTAAATGCTGATCAATAACATGCTTATGAAACAGTATATTTTACTCTTCCAAGACTGAGCCAGGAAAAAATTGAATTCCTGAACAGACCAATAACAAACTCCAAAACTCAATTAGTAATAAAAAGCTTAGCATCCAAAAAAAGCACAGAACCAGAAAAATTCAGAGATGAATTCTATCAGACATACAAAGAAGAGCTGGTACCATTCCTGCTGAAACTATTCCAAAAAACTGAGGAGGAAGCTTTCCTCTCTAACTCATTTTATGAGGCCAGCATAATACTGATACCAAAACTTGGCCAAGACACACACAAAAAAGAAAACTTCAGGCCAATTTCCTTGATGAACATCAATGCAAAAATCCTCAAAATAATACTGGCAAACCGAATCCAGCAGTATATCAAAAAGCTTATCCACCACAATCAAGTGGGCTTTATCCATGGGATGAAAGATTGGTTCAATATACGTCAATCAATAAATGTGATTTATCACATAAACAGAACTAAAGACAAAAACCACATGATTATCTCAATAAATGCAGAAGAGACTTTCAATACAATTCAACATCCCTTCATGTTAAAAATTCTCAAAAACTAAGTATTAAAGGGACGTAATACAAAGTAATAAGAGTCATCTATGACAAAACCACAGCCAACATCATACTGAAAGGGAAAAAGCTGGAAGCATTCCTCTTGAAAACCAACACAAGACAAGGATGCCCTCTTGGAAGTCCTAGCCAAAGCAATCAGGCAAGAGAAAGAAATAAAGGGTATCCAAATAAGAACAGAGGAAGTCAAAGTATCCTTGTTTGAAGACCACATGACTCTCTATCTAGAAAACTTCATAGTCTCCGCCCAAAATTTTTTCAGCTGATAAACAATCAACAGTTTCAGGATACAAAATCAATGTACAAAAATCACTAGCATTCTTATACACTAACAACAGCCAAGCCAAGAAAAAATCAAGAAGGCAGTCCTATTCACAATTGCCACAGAAAGAATAAAATACGGAGGCATACAGCTAACCAGGGAGGTGAAAGATATCTACAATGAGAATTACAGAACACTGCTCAAAGAAATGAGAGAAGACACAAACAAATGGAAAAACACTCCATGCACATGGATAAGAAGAATCAATATCATGAAAATGCCCATACTGCCCAAAGCATTCTATAGATCCAGTGCTGCTCCTTTCAAACTACCAACAACATTCTTCACAAAACTAGAAAAATAAAAACTATTTTAAAATAGTTTGGAACCAAAAAAGAGCCTGAATAGCCATGACTATACTAAGCAAAAACAACAAAACTGGAGGCATCATGTTACTTGACTTCAAACTATATTACAAGACTACCATAACCAAAGCAGCATGGTACTTGTACTAAAACAGGGACATGGATAAATGGAACAGAATAGAGAGCTGATATATAAGATGATATACCTATGACCATGTAATCTTTGACAAAGCTGACAAAAACAACCAATGGGGAAAAGACTCCCTATTCCATAAATGGTGCTGGGAAAACTGGCTAGCCATATGCAGAAAATGTTCGTTGCAGCACTATTCACAATAGCAAACACATGGAATCAACTTAAATGCCCATCAATGGTACGCTGGATAAAGAAAACATGGTATACATACACTATGAAATACTATGCAGCCATAACAAAGAATGAGATCATGTCCTTTGCAGGTACATGGATGGAGCTGGTTGCCATTATCCTTAGCAAACTAATGCAAGAACGGAAAACCAAATACAACATGTTCTCACTTATAAGTAGGAATTAAATAATGAGAACACATGGATACATAGAGGGGAACAGACACTGGGTTCTATTGTAGTGTGGAGAGTGGGAGGAGGGAGAGACTCAGGAAAGATAACTAATGAAGTACTGGGCCTAATACCTGGGTAAAGAAGTAGTCTGTACAACAAACCCCCACGACATGAGTTTGACTATTTCATGGGAGTTTCCATGGTTGGTAACTCCTTTCTGTTAACCACTGAATAATAGTCTATTGTTGGAATGTACTAAGGCATGTTATCCATTCCCTTGATTAAGCACATTTTGGTTGCTTCCAGGTTTTGGCAATTATGTTGCCAAACATCTGTCAACATCAGTTTGCATGTTTTTGCATGGATATAAGTTTTCTACTCTTTTGGGTAAATGCAAAGGAGCACATTTGCTGTACTGTATGGTAGAAATATATTTAGTTCTGTAAGAAAGTGTTTTGTCTTCCAAAGTAGCCACACAATTTTGCATTCCCACCATCAGTGAATGAAGCTTGCTATTTCTCCACATCCTTGCCAGCATCTGACACTGTTTGTGTTTTGAATTTAGACAATTATTATAGGTATGTAGTGGTATCTCATTGTTTTAATTTATAATCTCCTAATGATATATGATGTTGAAAACACAGAAGCATCTTTTCACATGTTTATTTTTCATCTGTGTGTCTTTTTGGTGAAGTGTTTTTTTATGTCTTCAGCCCATTTTTTAATCAGTTTGTTTTTACATTGATGAGATGCAAGAATTCTTTGTATACTTTGGATAGCAGCCCTTCGCCAGTCATGTTTCTTGCAATCATTTTCTCTCAGTCTATTGCTTTCCTTCTCATTCTGCTGACAGTGTGTTTCAAAGACTAGAAGTTTTAATTTTAATAAAGTTCAATTTTTCAATTATTTCTTTCATGTATCCTACCTTTAGTGTTGTATCTAAAAAGTTATCAGCATATTCATCATTTAAATTTTCTCCATGTTATCTCCTAGGAGCTTTACATTTACGTTTTATATTTAGGTATGAGATCCCTTTTGAGTTAATTTTTTTGTGAAGTGTGTAAGGTCTGTATCTAGATTTATTTCTTTTTCTGCATGTGCATATCCAGTTGTTTCAGCACCATTTGTTGAAAGGCCCATCTTCTCTCCATTACATTGCCTTTGATCCTTGTCAAAAATAAGTTGATTATATTTGTGCAGATCTATTTCTAAACTCTCTAATATTTTCCACTGATCTTTCTGTCAATTATTTTGCCAATGTTACACTGTTTAATTACTGTAGGTTTCTTTTATTTTTTGAGATGGAGTCTCGCTGTGTCACCCCAGGCTGGAGTGCAGTGGTGTGATTTCGGCTCACTGCAAGCTCTGCCTCGTGGGTTCACACCACTCCTGCCTCAGCCTCCTGAGTAGCTGGGACTACAGGCCCCCACCACCATGCCCGGCTATTTTTTTTTTTTTTTTTGTATTTTTAGTAGAGATGGTGTTTCACCGTGTTAGCCAGGATGGTCTCGATCTTCTGACCTCATGATCCGCCCGCCTCAGCCTCCCAAAGTGCTGGGATTACAGGCGTGAGCCACCATGCCTGGCCTAATTACTGTAGGTTTCTAATAAGCCTTTAAGTAAAATAATGTCAGTCCTTCAAATTTGTTCTCCTTCAATATTGCATTTCTGTTCTGGTACTTTTACTTGTATGTTAACTTTAGAATCAGCTTATTGATATCCACAAAATAACTTGCTGGAATTTTTATTTGGATTGTTTTGAATCTAAAATTCAAATTAGAAAAAAGTGACATACTGAAAACATTGAGTTTTTCTATCCACTAACATGAAATGCCTCTCCATTTAATTTTTCTTTAGTTTTTAAAATCAGAGTTCTGTAAATTTTCTCACATAGACTTTGCACACATTTTTAGATTTATATTAAGTACTTCATTTTGAGAGAGCAGGTATTTTCAATGGTAATGTGTTTTTAATTTCAAATCCCATTTGTTTATTATTGTTATATAGGAAAGCAGTTGACTAATTTTTATTGTGGTAATAAAACACATAACATTACATTATTAAATGTATTTTGTTAATATTTTTAGTATATAGTTCAATAGTGTTTATTATTACATGGTTGCATAGCAAATTGCTACAACTTTTTCATCTTACAAAACTGAAACTCTATACCCACTAAATACTAATTCCTCTTACACCCTCCATCACCCAGTTCCCACTCATGACAAAAACCTTTCCACTTTCTGCCTCTGTGATCTTTATTTCTTTCAATACTTCATATGAATGGAATCATTCAGTACTTGACTTTTTGTGACTGGCTTATTTCACTTAGCATAACGTTCTGGAGGTTCATCCATATGGTAGTATGTGACAGAATTTTTTTCTTTTTTAGGGCTGAATAACATAACTTTGTGTGTATATATCATGTTTCTTCATCTATTCATCTGTCAGTGAACATTTGGGTTGCTTCTACCTCTTGGCCATTGTGAATAATGCTGAGATGAACATGAGTGTGCAAATATTTCTGTGAGATCCTACTTTAAATTCTTTTGGATATATGACTAGAAGTGGGATTTCCATATCACATGCTAATTCCATTTTCTAATTTTTTGAGGAAACTTCATATTCTTTTCATAGTACTTGAATTAATTTAAATTCCCACCAACAGTGTGCAAGTGTTTCAATTTCTCCACGTTTTAACACTTGTAATTTTCTGTAATTTTTATACTGACAATTTATTTCTAAAATTGGTATTTTCTTAATTTCTTTTGCTGATTGGTCTTTGTTAGTGTACAGAAACACTTAATATTTCGTCTGTTAATTTTGTATCCTGAAACATTGCTGAAATTGTTTGTTGTAACAGTTTTTCGTGGATTTTTTTTAGGTTTTTCTACATACTAAATTATATCATCTGCACACAGATATAATTTTACATTTCCTTGTCCAATTTGTATGCTTTTTATTTATTTTCCTTTTTCTTTATTTTTCTTCTCTGCATAGGATTGATAGTTTGCAATGTTTTTATCATGAATAGTGTGGATTTTGTGAAATGGTTTTTCTGTGTCTATTAATATGATCATATGATTTTTTTTCTTTGGCCTGTTGATGTGATGAATTAAATGAATTCGTTTTCAAATGTTGAAATTTCCTCGCATACCTGAGAAAAATTCCATTTGGTCATGGTTTTCAATTATGTATACATTATTAGATTTGATTTACTAAAATGTTGTTGACAATTTTGCATCTATGTACGGGAGATATTAGTCTCTAATTTCCTTTTTTTAAGAATGTCTTCATCTGATTTTGGTATTACGGTGATCCTCTTCTTATAGAATGGGTTAAGAAGTGCTCTCTCTGCTTTTATCTTCTGAACAAGATTGCAGAGAATTAGTAAAATTTCTTCCCTAAATGTTTCCTGGAATGCACCTGTGAATCCGTATGAGCCTGGTGATTTCTGTTTTGAAGGGCATTTATTATTGATTCTATTTCATTAGTAGATATAGGCTATCCAGAGTGTCTACTTCTTTTTGTGTCACTTTTGGTAGATTGTGTCTTTCAGGGAATAGGTAGATGTCATCTAGGTTAACGAATGTGTTGACACAGTACAGCTATTTCAAATATTCTTTTATTATCTTTTTAATATCCATGAGATCTTCAGTAATATACCCTCTTTCATTTATGATATTGGTAATTGCTCCCTTCTCTTTTTATCTTAGTTAGCCTGGCTAGAGATTTATTAATTTTATTGATCTTAATGAATCAGACTTTAGTGTCATTGATTTTCTCTATTGATTTTTTAATTTTCATTTTTATTGATTTCTGATCTACAGTTTATTATGTCTTTCATTCTGCATACTTTAGATCTAATTTGTTCTTTTTCTTTCCAGTTTTCTACGGTGTAACCTTAGACTGTTAATTTAAGATCATTCTTCTTTTATAAATTCTTCTTTTATAAATCTACAAATTCCCTCTAAGTATGCTTTTGTTATTTCCCATGAATTTAGTTGTGTTTTCATTTTGATTTAATTCAAAATATGTATTAATTTGTCCTGAGATTTCTTCTTTGACTCATGTGTTATTTAGAAGTGTGTTGCTTAATCTCTAAGTATTTTGGAATTTTCCAACTATCATTTTTATTGATTTCTAGTTTAATTCCATTGTGATTTCAGAGTAGGCATTGAATAATTTATATTATTTTAATTCTGTGAAGCTGTTTCCATGGTCCAGAATATGGTCTATTTTGATGATTATTTAATGTGACCTTGAGAATAATATGTATTCTACTGTGTTAGATAAAGTAGTCTACAGATATCAATTTTATCGAGTTGGTTTATCATGCTATTGAGTTCAACCATGTTGTTACTGAAAGTCTGACTATGTTACACCTTTTAAAGTTGTCTATGGTTCTTAGATACTTTGTTCTTTTTTTCTTCTTTGCTTTTCAATTTTGGAAGTTCCTACTGACATCTTCAAGTTCAGAGATTCCTTCCTCACTCATGTTCAGTGTACTAATGCCCATCAAAGGCTTTCTTTGTTTCTGTGTTTTTTATCTCTAGCCGTTTTTTAAAATTCTTTCTTAGAGTTTTCATTTCTCTTTCTGCACTATTTATCTGTTATCACGTTGTCTACTTTGTACATTAGAGCCCTTATTAATCTTAGTATTTTTAAATTGATGGTCTGATAATTCCGACATCCCTGCCATTTTTGAGACTGGTTCTGAATCTTGCTCTTTCTTTAAACTGTGTTTAAATTGCCTTGCAATTTTTTTCTGGATATCCTGACATGAAGGAGGGCACAGGGAACTGCAGTAAATAAGTCTTTAGGGATGTGGTGGTGAAGTGGAGAGAAGGGGCTGTTTTGTAGTCCTATAATTAACTTGCAGTCTTTTTAGTGAGCCTATGCCCCTGAACCATAAAATTCATCAGTGCTTCTCAGTCCTCCTCCCACTCAAAAGTAGGACCAGATGGCTGAGGCGGAGGGGGTGGCTAGAGTTGTGTATTTCCCTTCTCTCATTTGAAAGGCTAGAACAGGCTGAATTTGACTATTTCCTTTCACCCATGTGAAAGCTAGAGAGGGCTGGATTTGCTTTATGTACTTCCTCAGGTCAGCTGGGCTCTGATAAAATCGCAATAGGTTACGCTCTGGTGAAATATTTTCTCTTGAGGGCAGGCCTCGTTAAGAAGAATAGAATGCTCTGGGGTATTTAAAAGTGAGTACATTTTTACCATGCTGGAAACACCAGGGAATTTTCTCGCATCTGCACTGTAAAAACCTGATAGAGAGCTCTAAGAAGTAAAGCTCACAAAAGTGTCAGGGCCCTCCTATTACTTGGTTCCATAGAGTTTTCAACTCTCCAACTTTTCCAATCTAAGCCTCCAGCAACTCATCAATTACAGTTCAGTTTTCCCTACTATGTCATTGGTTTCTAAGGATGTTTTTGATTATGGGTTTCTGTCCTGGTAAGTTGTAATTTTTTGCATCCACTTGTCTGTCTCTCCATTTTGGGGTTTAGTGGTTTGCCCTGTGACCTCATTTCTGTGATGACTCTAAGAAGAGTTGTTGCTTTTACGGTTTGTTCCGTTTTTTACTTACTGTTAGAACAAAGACTTTCAAATTTCCTACATGCTAAACTGAAAACTAGAAGTCCATATTGTTATTTGAAAGGAAAAAAAAAATTTCATATCCAAGTAGGAGAATAAAACTTTGAAAGCAATTCTGAATCCAATTCTACAGTGTACTATTGGCTTCTCTCAGTTCAGACTAGAACCTTTTTCATGAAATTTTTTATTTCACTGGTTTTCTTTTCCATTTCCATGACCTCCACAAGGCACCTTGTTTTTGCTGGGTTCTATTACCTGTTATTGCCTCTTCACTTCTTGAGTGAACAGGGTAGACTTCAGTCGCCTGCTTAAATATTAATTTCTCCAGTCTTTGAGCCAGTTTACATATTGATGCATCTTGCCCTCTCTACCATTATGAAGATACCTGAAATTACTGTGAGCTTGCTGAAAATTTCAGCTTAAAATAATTTTTCTTTAGCAATTGCCTGTTTTTCTGAGTTAGAATGAACAGCATGAATCTTTGAAATTGAAGAACATGACATGCATACTTTATAGTGTTTTGGTAAAGCTCTCTAACTCATCTTCATTTTGTCTACATGACAGGCTTTTACCTTGAAAAGATGTCCACAAACTCTGCTTGTTCACAAAAATTCAGTAAAATCTTGACATCAAGTTTATTTCTTTCTATGTAAGTACATATCTCAAGAAGAAGTCCCTAAGGAGCGCATTACCCCATTTCTCACCAGATCTCCTTTAAACTGGAGTCTCTCTCTCTCTCTCTGTCTCTCTCTCTCTCTCCAGTTAATGATACAATTATTCTATTTTGCTTTGCAAGGCATAGCCTATTATCAAACAACAACAACAAAAAAAGTGACTACTCTCTCTTACCTTGTTTAGGCATCTCCTATAGGACCTCTGAATGATTTGCTTGTGCTTATTTATATGCTTTTCTCTCAATAAATTTTGAATTACAGAGAGAACAGCAAATATCACTTTCTAATCATTTTTATTTTAATGGTCTCTGGCATAATTTTGTTGAATGAAGGACTTGAGTAACAGTTTTGTGACTTTGAGCAGGATATTTCACCATATCAATCCTTATTTTTTTTCATTGTCAACTAAGGACAAAAATGCCTCCTTGTCTTATCTCATAGAGTTTAAGGATTAAATAAAATAAATCATGGGAAGATACTATGTGAACTATAAACTGTCATACAGATGTGAGTGTTATAAGAATAAGAGAAGCATGTACATATATTCAAATTATCTATCTCCTTACTTTCCCTTTCTTTGCCAGGAGGACGCATAACTAAGCTGTCAAAATTGAAATAAATACAAAAAGTTTAACTAGGAAGATTAAGTGATGAAACAAAATTAAGTTACGTACCTAATAGTAGGTAGATACATTATGGTTCCATTATTTTAAGTTATATGCATTTAGAGGAATGTATGGAAAGATGTTCAAGTCAGTATACTTTCAGAAGAGCTTTGCATTCTTTTTTTACTTTTTTGTATTTTTTTACAGTGAGCATTTATTATTTTTACAGATACAGAAGAGTAAGTTTCAGAAAAAGAAAAGTTAAAGAAAAGGTAGGCTTGCTTTGATGCTTTCCTTTGCCACTTCTCACCTGCTCATCTAAAGTCTGCATTGTACTTAACCTCAATATGTTATAAAATACTCTTGTAAAGATACCAATGGTTACTTGGTTGCTAAATGCAATACATTCTTAACCTCTTTCAATTTACCAGACACCCCTGAGCTATTTCTCCAAATCGTTTTTCTCCTTTGTTCTCAGGGACATGTCTTTTTCTTTGTAGTTTTGCTTGTTCATATGATAATTGACTGCCCTCTCTTTCGCTGACATTTCTTCCTTGGTGCTGTTAAAATATAATTTTCAGAAAAGGAAAAAATTGTAACTCTCATACAGATTTAAAATAAACACATTTTAATATCTACTCATTTAATGTGGTTGCCAGACACATGTTATAACTGGTTCAAAGAGGACTGTATAAGCAGGCACATTTATAGATCAGGAATGTTGAAAGAAATATGTAAAGGGTGGCAAAACTGGTCTTAATACAGACTGGAAAGGAAGTGTGTTGAACCTCTACTATGCAAGACATAATTCAAAGGTCTACTAGAGACCTACCACTTATAGAGTTGAAAATTAGCTCAGTCAATAAAAAGCTAGAATTAAGTAATGCTTGGAAGACTTTCCTGTATGGGGCAATGCAGTTTTCTGCTGAGAAGTGCTCCCCCACCCACACATATACAGTCTCCATTCAAATAGCATTGTTTCCCTAAATTCTGATCTTTTCTTCAGTCATTCTACATACACCCTCTGCTTATTAATACTTACTTTAGATATGTTGATAAATTGCCCAGATTTTTTTTAGAAGCACATAAGGACTGGCTTAGTAGTCATTCAATTTCTTACGTTAATTTTAATTACAATAATAAGACCTTACACTTGCATAGCAATTTGTGCTTTTTCAAGTTCTGTCACATCCCTTACCTCATTTAATCCTCACATAAACCTATCCCTATAAGAAGTTAGCATTTGGCAAGTTAGGAAACCCATTTTACAGATTAATGTTTTGCTTAAAATATTAAGTGACTTATCCTTGGTATTAGTAATATATTGAGGTTTTAACTCAGATCTTATTTTTTGTATCTTTTGTTTTCTAATATTCTGAGAAATGAACATTAAGTGAGATTGGGTTGTAGGTATTTAAAGAATTTTTTTTCCAGATTATACTAATATGGTTGGCAGCTATAGCTGAGAGCTACTTCTCATAAAGACTTGAGAATTAAGGAGTCAGTGAAAGATTCGTAACAACCTCTTTCTCTGAACTGAACCCAGTTCAGTGTTCCACTGAACTATTTCATAACAACCCATTTATTCATAACAATTCTTTGTAGTATTGCACAGTGACATCAACAAAGACTATAATTCAAAGAACAATAGTGCAGCTATTTCATTAGGAAATTTGAATAAGTGAAAGAAGCCAAGCACAGGATGACTAATGTCATATAATTTCACTTATATGTGGATTTTTAAAAAGTCGACCTCATAGAAGCAGAGAGTAGAATGGTGGGGTGGGATTATGGTGTTGGAGAGATGCTGGCGAAATAATATAAACCTTCAGTTAAGACAGGAAGAATACGTTCAATAGATATACAACATAATGGCTATAGTTAGTAGCAATGTATTGTATTCTTGAAAATTGCTAAGAGAGTAGGTTTTAAGTGAGCTCACCACACACACACACAAAGATAAGTATATAAGGTAATGCATATGTAAATTATCTCAGTTTAGCATTCCACAATGCATGCATATTTCAAAACCATATGTTGTACATGGTAAATATGTACAATTTTTATTTTTCAATGAAAAATAATTAAATATTATCTTATAAAAAGAGTACATGCCCTGTAGTTTAGAAAAAAATGTATTATTCTGCATCTGTGATTTATAAAAACGCAGTAGTAATGTCTGTCTGTGTTTTACAAAGCATTGCAAGGCCATTCACATATCAAAATGAAACTACCTAATTATCTTGTATCATTTGTATTCTTAATATAAATGTTAATATAGTGGTCTTTGGATGGTAGCCATTATCCCTACACATTGATTTATTTAAACAGTATTTTAGCAAGAAGAATCAGTGCCAGAAAATAAACCTTTTATATATACAGTAAAAAAAAGTAATATTCATTTGTTTTCTATCTCTAAATAACCACTACAAGGGGATATGTATGCTCTGCTTCATCATTTCAATGGTTTAGCATATTAATCTTGAAAATCCCATTATCGCCTATTATTGCAAATTAGAGGAAGTTTTTAAATAATACCTGATGTGTTCAGTTGCTATTAGAAAGTGTGTTGTATGCACACAAAATATGCATATTTTATTTTTTGACAATGTGAAAATACACTGTGTTCAATATTTAAGACAATAATAACATCTTCCTTTCCTATTTTCTAGGCACGTAAAGCCGTAATCTCTTATCTTTTCTAAGATGGTGGTATCAGAATGCATTACCCTCCTTCTGAAAAGTCATGATATCCTAAAACTGCATGAATACACTTTAGAAAAACGCTGCAGTTCTCGATAGCTGCTTGCCTTGTGTCTAGAATGTAACAGTATGCTGCCTGTTTACCTCAGGCCAAAGTTGTCATTTTCACTATCTGGGCCACTACATTTCCTCTGGCTAGAGGCCTGTCTTGTATGTACTAGGGACTTCTGTTAATGCTGGTGTGTGCAGTTACTCTACACTGAATTGGATTTTTGTCATCTATTTGAGGATTACATGCATGATATGCCTAGTCATTTTTTTCTTCATTATGTTACACCAAATCTGAACTGAAAACCCTCCACATTGTAATGTGTGAGGCCCAATTATTCAGATAGCAAACAGCAATTATATATAGATGTAGGTATTGATAAGGAAATGTAAAATTCAGGGAACTTTCAGGCTAGGTCACAAATTAATAAATTCCAGGGAATTCAAGATCAATGAGAGATTAATATTTACATGAATAGTATTGTTTTTTGGAAACAAACATGTTTCACCTTGATTTATGTTGCTAAAATGTGCCTATGGACTTGAAGATTATACAATGGCTAAGTTGAGTTAGGTGAAGCACCATGCATTTGGCAAAGTGTGCTCATTAACGTCCTCATCCTGAATTGCTTGTAACACTGTCACTCTCTGGATAAGTAAATGGAAGCACAGGCAGGCAAGCAATGGCTAAGAAGCAGGATGCCCATGTCAAACTCTCTCCCTCAAAGTAAAGGGGAAGCAAGTGGTTTAAGTAAGGAGTCCAAATGAAGACAGATTTACTTAAGTGTAAAATGTGAATTCTGAACTAGATGAACATAAAGCCCTGTTCAGCTTTGTGAATCTACGTTTCTATGATTATCTTGAGTTATTAAAAGTAAATTATGGTAGATCATAATTAATAAAGGGCCATCTGTAACACGAAATCCTCCTTTTTAATTGGGCTGGGTGAGTTGCCCAAGATATTTATTTTAGGGGAGATAGGAGATGTGGAAGAAACTGAAAACTGCTCTATCCCCTCTCCAGGCACAGTTTCTCAAACTTAGCTGCAAATAAAAAATAGAAGGCCTGATTTTATTCAGTGCTAAATTAGGGTGTTGATATAAGATTAGGTGACTAGTAATGCAAAAGTGTGAATAAAGTAAAAGACCTTCCTAATTGTATGATTTACAATATTTAACAATCAAATTACCAGCAAGTAATTTTTCTGGAGGAGATTAAAAGCTAATTCTATTTGCCATTACTGAATGAGTGCTGATACAGGCCAACCACTATTTTAATATTTTACAAGACTTACTTATTTAATCTTCATAACAATCTGATAGAATAGACATAATTATTATTCCCATTTTATAAATGAGCAAAGTTTTGCCCAGAAAGATAACATTACCAAGATCGCACAAGCAGAAGTGAGAGAGTCAGGTATTACAAGCAGATGCATTGCTTAAATATTAGCTCCTCACTTCTGACAGTTGATCTGATACCCTTTGGATGGCCTAGCATCTGGTGGACCAGGCATATCAATTCAGCGAGTGCGGTTTTCTGCCTAGATATTGTCTGTAGTGTAGAGGAGAAGACAAACTTGCCTGGAGGCTTTCTTCTAGAATCAGTAGCAATTTCTTATCCACAAAAAAGAGAGACTACTCATTCCTGGCCATGGAGATGAGAAAGTGTGCATCTTAGCCTCTACCACTGACAGTAAAAGATAACCCGATATCCAGAAACATGAGAAAAACAACCTTGAGCATATTCCATCATAAACATTTCACTGCCTTTAATTTGAAACTTTTTAAGCTACTTGAGTATTGTCATCACCCTTTCAACCCCACTTCCTCCACCTTAGTGGGAACTACATAGTCTAGCATGGCATAAAAATCAAGTTTTAATAGCAGGTAGAATTGCAGATTCCAGATTTGCCCATCAACTTGCCAGAGCTGCTGAATAGTTTATGACTCACACTGAGTTACACATCTTGGCCACCGCTTTATATATTCTAATCTTGAATCTATTAACATTCTCTTTTTCTGGACTGGCCTAAAATGCCTGCCATCTGAATTATATTTTTAGGTTCAACAGCAAAGTTTTACTCTGTTAAAAAAATACTTATTGAGAACCCATGGCTTGTGTAAAACAATGCTTAATGAAAAGGTATATAGAGATAAATAACTACATTTAAGTTCTCAGTGAATTTACAGTACAATGTCTTATCTCCACTCTACCACTGTTAACACACATCCATTATTTGGGGACAATAACAACAGCAGCCACAACACAACAGTAACTGTTAAGTATGTATTAAGAATTTACTATGAGCTAGATATTATTACAAATATTTTGCAAAATTTATCTTGATAAATTTTCATAATAACCAAATAAATATGTTGTATTACCCTGATTTTATAAATGAGGCATCAGAAAGATGTGGCTATAAGTAAATAAAATAAATTTAAATAAATAAAATTTAAAATAATAAATGAGGAAACTCAGGAACAGAAAAATTGGATAATTTGGCCAAGATCACCAGCCCAAACTCCTAAACACTGAGGAAAATAGTAGCATGGCCAGGGAGAGAGGAGTATGTTTTCATAATCTTAGAATCACGTAGAAACCAAGATTCAGTTTTTAAATATGAGAACGCTCACTTTGGAAATTCTAAGAGAGTGGTGTGGAGGGCTAGAGATATAGCGTAACCATGTCTTAGCTAAGTAAAGGGGTTAGTTCAGACTTGAGTATCATGAAAGGAATAAACTGCAAGGTGCACTGAAGACTTGCCTGTGTGGGCAAGTGGAATGAGCACGTAGCTAGTTTTTTGGACAGTCCAAGGCACCTTGGGAGCAATTGACAAAGATTACTTTTCTATACACACCTAATGTTTTAGCTTATTTGTAATGCTGTCTTTTAACATTTCTCCTGTACTGCCTCTCGGGACTACATTTTAAAATTTAGAAAATAAAATAAATCACTATTCACAATGAACAGCCCTATAAAATCCACTCTTTGAGTTCACTTTTTCCTCTGATTGTTCTTGCTGACCTTGGGATACTCTTACATGACTAGTTTTGAGTTTGATGGTTGGGTCCGTAAATGCACCACGAAGTCAGTTCTTGCACATTGTACACATTTTCAAATAAAATGTTCAGCTCTGCTTGGCAGTGCTGTTGTTTCTGGTGTGCTTATCTCCTTCAGCAAGAAACAGGTGAGTTTGCATTTACCCCTATGTCAGGAATTACATGTGGATGTTTGAGATAAATGGCACCATAGCTTTGATCTCCACCTCCTTCCAGTGGCAGACTGAGCAACTGGCTAACCTCTATCTGCACCCGGTTCCTTACCCTGTGAATTTCTAACAAACACTAAAGCCTTATTTTATAGAGGTTCATGTGCTCTACTTTGTACAACATATGTGGCAAATAGTTTTTTGTTTTACTAATAACTTTACTCAACTTATTAGTTTTAAGTAGATGGAAAGCAACATGTCAATCATGTGGAAATAGTCATGTGATTTGATAAGTCAACCAGTCATGTTGACCTGCTGAATCATTTTTTTAGGATATTTTATTAAATTATAGTACAAGTGGTTCTCATTTTTCCACTGTTTTTAATCAGGTCAAACCCCAAAATCTTTTAAGAAACATAAAAAATAAGTATACACATTTAATTATCATTTTATGTCACCTGAGACCTGCAATTTTTTAAATTTCCCAGTATTCATTGAATGTGTCACCATGGAATCAGAGAAAATTATTAAATTAAGCATCTTATTAGTTACAAATGTGTCTAGAATTCACGGCAAATATAATTTTAGGTTTGAAATCACAGTGATGCTGAAGACAGCATTATTCCTCCTTCACCTTCATCTGAAAATAGATTGCTTCAGGGAGTTTGAAGAATAAAATATGGAAAAATGTGTTGTGTCAATTTCCACAAGATAAGCAAGGATATTAAATGTAGCCTGATTTGAGTAATAAATCTTTTTTGTACTTAACAAAATGCATCTTCCTTGTTAGGATCCTTCAAGTTTTCTTCTGGCCATTTCCTAAATCTACTTCTTATAATGTATGAATTGAGAATGCTGAAATCTCCAAATAGACCATTAAAAGACATACATTGAAAATAAATGGCCTTGAAATATTTGGATTAAAACTTAAATCTCCCATAGTAAATTAAATTATTCCTCCGATCTTCACATTGCTTTCGGTAATTGAATCTCATAGAATAGAAGTTGATTGTGGCAATATATGGGCATTGGAACAATATGTAAAAAGCAATAAAACTAAAAATTAATCCACCTTCATATTTGGAAGTCTGTAGAAACAGACAAGGAGTTCGCTAAGTCACAAAAATTAACTCAAATGAGTCAGAGACAAATATTATGTTCCAAGAATAATACCACGATGCAGAGGAAAATATAGATAGAAACTCTGTCAGAAACAAACTTTTAAATTCTTGTTATTTACAGTGTTTCCTGTGAACTAAGAATCAAAGATGTAGTGTTTCTAAATGTTCTCCATCCCTCCAGATACCAATCTTCAGGACTGGGAACAAGAAATTAGACAGAAATTGGGAATTTCTGCAACCATGTTATTCTGAAAATACGCCCAAGATTTCTCAGATTCTTTACAAATTGTTATGAATATCTTTTTTCAATGTCTAATAAATACAAAATTTTGAGTGTAGTGGTATTTACAAGGACCTGTAGTGTAGGGTGAATATTTAAATACTGGAAATCACCAGTAATCCTTATTGGGCAGTATTTGCATAATGTAACATTAGGATCATCTAAGCAAGTTAAACGGCTCTAACACAGTATCACGTGTTTAACTCGCTATATTAAGGTCTTATTTTGTTTCCTAAACTTGCATTTTTGGTCACCTTATGTGCAAGAATTACTCATTAGCTGAAGATAGGACCATAAACATCTGCTTATAACATGGCAAGAGCTACAGGTAAGACTGAGGAAATCATGATCATTTCTCTCCTGCCAACTCACGAAAATGGTCACTTTAACCTTAGACCTTGCATGTCAGCTTTGCTTCCTCCAAACCAGTTAAGTCTCTGTTAATATTCAAGCTTTAATGCTCGCAGAATAATCATTGTCCTGATTTCTCAACTAATTTTTTCTTGACATCAAAAATTGAGAAAAAAATACAAATTTCCTAAAAAATAGAAAAATCTACATGGAGATATTAAAAGATAATATACATTTTTTACAGTATAACTCTGATATTAGGATTGTTGGGATTATGGGTTTAGTTTTTATTTAATATTATTTGGTAATATTATATCAACTTTGCAATAGTAAAGGCTTGCCCTTACTGAGATACTCTTAAAAATTGTTTAAAAAACTATAAGGCTATTTATTGAGATAGTAAATTATAAATATTGATATATGCTGCATGAAATGAGGTTCAGGCAAAATTTAAGTGAGTGATTACATTACCTCAAACATAGCTCTTTCTTACATTAAAGATCTTTCTTACATTAAAGATCTCCCAGCCAATCAATCCTTGTGGCTCTGTCCTTTTACCCTTTAAGAACTGCCATAAAGGATAAGAGGAAGCCTGAATTTACTGCTTCAACCTGTAGTGATTTTCTACCCTAAATCTTATATCCTTTTGGGACTCATATCTTTAGCCATTAAAACAACAACAACAACAACAACAAAAACCTCAGAATGTCCACTTTTTCAGACGATTTTAACTAACCAATAACCTACCAAGATATTACAAAATGGCAGGGACCTACATTAAACTCCTGTGATGTTTTGCTGCATGTGCTGCAATCCCCTAATGTAGATGTAAAATAAAAACTCAGTAAGGATTAGTCAATAGAGTCAGATTGTCTGATAAAATAGACTATAGTTTTCTTGATAATTTGCACAGTGTTTTTAATGATTTCATAAAATTTTGACTTAGAAAAAAATAAGGGCTCTACTTACTGAATTAAACAGAATCTCAATTTAATTGGCTGCCCATCAGATGACCTCCTTCTTAGTCTCATCCTTGTTCCTGTTCTAATATGAAATTCCTGCCAGTATTTTCTTGAACATGTTCTTTTTTATCCTCTGAAATCTGTATGCCTCCACCTTTAAACTGGAGATTTCAAAAAAAGTCTTCCTTTCTCTGTTATCATAAGTTTTTAAGAATTGCAAAGTACCCAGATTGCCTCTATATTAAAGTAAAATATAAATTTCATGTCATAGAGCCATACAAAAATGACAGTCATTTAGTTGTTTAGTTGCTCTGGTAGCTTACAATGCGTTGGTTCTCACTGTATCTCAATGAGTTACATAGGCTTCACTTTTAGTATACATGATTGACTGTGGGGCTTAATATTGAATAAAATAGCTGCTATAGATGCTCAAAATAGGCATAATCAAAGGTTTTTACTCTCTGTGGCATGTGTCATGTTAGAACGGAATTTTCACTGGAAGGTAGTATGCCCTTGCAGAGAAATCTTAGTCCCGGGTAAAAAGTGGGAAGAAACACCAATGGATCTATAGCACATCTCTAGCCATAAGCATTTCTCTCCTTTTTTTGGAATCAGGACATAAATTGTCAATTTATGTTGTCTAAACTAATGTATTCTTCTTTCTCAATCATGTATTCACTTAAAAAATACACAAGGACATAATGACCAGTCTTTTTTCACCCATTATGTAAATGTAGACATAATTTTTATAGGGACAACTGGAAGATCATCTTTGTGAGAGACAGAGACAGACCTTGGAGCAAAACCTCAAGATAATGTTCCTCCAACAGCACCATAAAACAGCTATCTATCTGACCTACTCACAAAAGAGGTCTTTTACTGCATCCTTTGCCAAACTGTATACTCTCACCTAGGTTTTTAAAACTTTCCTGAAATTGAATAGCTACGATTATATTTACACTATTTACCTCACATTGTTGTTAGAATCGAATCATCCAATAAGTAGGGAGGTGTTTTAAGAATAATGCTATCCAAATGTATTATAACAAAGGATGCTCTTAAATGCCACATTTTCCAAAAGAATAGAAAAATTAAAAAACTTTTAAAACACAGGAAATACAGCAACTTATATAAAACCTTCAGGGATATGTAGGAAATGTAATGAGGATACATCTCTAAGAACAAAACAAAGGTAAGCAAAGCAAACTTAAAAAAAATAGGGTCAGATCCACAAAATATCTATGAAACGATCATCAGAAAAGAACACTGCTATATTTTCCATCTGTCATCTCAGACTACCTATGTCTCCAATCAGACATTAGGCTCTGTTTTACAGATGAACCAAATTCTACAGTTAGAATGTTTGCTCCAAACACAGCTGGATTAAGGAAGTGTCACAAAATATTAGATTATTTTAGAGCCAAGGGAAGTCTTTCCTCTTTACACATAGTATGAGATTGCCCTAGGCTGGGTGCCATGGCTCAGGCCTGTAATCCCAGCACTTTGGGAGGCCAAGACAGGTGGATCACTTGACGTTAGGAGTTAGAGACCAGCCTGGCCAACGTGGCATAATCCCATCTCTAGTAAAAATACAAAAAAAGAAAAAATTAGCTGGGTGTGGTGGTGGGAGCCTGTAACCCCAGCTACTTGGGAGGCTGAGGCACAAGAATCGCTTGAACCCAGGAGGCAGAGATTGCAGTGAGCTGAAATCATGCCACTGCACTCCAGCCTAGGTGACAGGTGAGACTCTGTCTCAAAAAAAAAAAAAAAAAAAAATTTGCATACGGCTAAGCAGTTTTCCCAACACCATTTATTAAATAGGGAATCCTTTTCATACTGCTTGTTTTTGTCAGGTTTGTCAAAGATCAGGTGGTTGTAGCTGTGCTATCTTATTTCTGAGATCTCTATTCTGTTCCATTGGTTTATGTGTCTGTTTTGGTACCATTACCATGCTATTTTGTTTACTGTAGACTTGTAGTATAGTTTAAAGTCATGTAGCATGAGGTCTCCAGCTTTGTTCTTTTTACTTAGGATTGTCTTAGTTAGACAGGCTCTTTTTTGATTCCATATACAATTTAAAGTAATTTTTTCTAATTCTGTGAATAATGTCAATAGTAGTTTAATGGGAATATCATTTCTTTGGGCAGTATGGCCATTTTCATGATATTGATTTTTCCTATCCATGAGCATGGAATATTTTTCCATTTGTTTGTGCCCTCTCTTATTTCCTTGAGCAGTGGTTTGTAGTTCTCCTTGAAAAGGTCGTTCACGTCCCTTGTTAGCTGTATTCTTAGGTATTTTATTCTCTTTGTAGCAATTGTGAATGAGAGTTCATTCATGATTTGGCTCTCTGCTTGTCTATCGTTGGTGTATAGGAATGCTTGTGATTTTTGCACATTGATTTTTGTATCCTGAGACTTTGCTCAATTTGCTTATCAGCTTGAGGAGCTTTTGGGCTGAGTAGATGGGGTTTTCTAGATGTAGGATCATGTTGTCTGCAAACAGAGACCATTTGATTCCCTATTTGAATACTCTTTATTTATTTCTCTTGCCTGATTGCCCTGGCCAGAACTTCCAATACTATGTCGAATAGGAGTGGAGAAAGAGGGTATCTTTGTCTTGTGCTGGTTTTCAAAGGGAATGCTTCCAACCTTTGTCCGTTCAGTGTGATATTGTCTGTGGGTTTGTCATAAATGGGTCTCATTATTTTGAGATATATTCCATCAATGCCTAGTTTATTGAGAGTTTTTAAAATGAAGGGATATTGAATTTCGTCAAAAGCTTTTTCTGCATCTATTGAGATAATCATGTGGCTTTTGTCATTAGTTCTGTTTATGTGATGAATTACGTTTATTGATTTACACATGTTGAACCAGCCTTGAATCCCAGGGATGAAGCCAACTTGGAAAAAAAAAAAAAAAGATTGCTCTTCTGATTCACTGAAATTGAAACAGAAAGAAAGAAAAACACAACTTATTAGTCAATAATTTGAACTCCTCCTCTTAGCAGCATCTCCTGGTCAGCATTATAATAATTATTCAAAAGCAGTGATTCTGAATATGCAAAAGCAGTGATTCTGCAAATACTCTCAGAAATTCTCAGATCATTTGAAACATCTACTATAAGTTCTCAAAATAAATGAGAAAATATTACTGTATTATTTAAACAAAGTCCATTTCTTTGTTATAAACCACTGACTACACCCCAGGAATACTTCAAGGAAGAAAGGACACAAGAAGATTTCGGGGTAAGAGCTAAACAACTAGAAGTTTGAGGAAATCGATTTATTTAGTGGAAATGATTTTCATTTACTGATAGATAACATGGCAAAGCTTAGAAATTCCTATATCTTTATTATCTAGGAATTCATCCTCACATACTAAATTGGAGACACACGCACATGCAATAGAAAGCCTCAATTTTCTTTCAGAGACCTATGAGATGTAATGTCTTAGAATCCTGGTTTATTAACACTAACGCCATTAAAACTTTTGTAATATTTTGAAACTTGAATTTTAAAAAAAGGATTAAGTTATGAAGACGAGTAAAATTTTTCTGTATCCTGGTAATTAACTTGATGTAAATGAAGAGATGCAATTTAAAATTGTATATACTAGGATAATGATTTAAATGAATCTTAGCTAATACAGCTTATGAACTGAAAAAAAAATTAACAAGTTTGAAACTTAGCAAATGCAGAAAGTAACAGAAAGAAAAGCAAAACTTATTCATAATTACATCATTCATAGATAACCACAATTAGCTTTGAAGGTGTAGCCTTCCAGTTTCTTTAGCAAATATATGTTTTACGAGTGTATGGGTGTATAGTTCAGTTTACACTTGGGAATTTTTTTCCTTTTAAAAGCATATTGAAACTTTTGTCATGAGGTTAAATAATTTTTTCTAAAACAGTAATTTGAATAAATTATTAGTATTAATTATACAGCTATCCCGTAACGCTGTACTTAATGAATTTTCAATTATTAAAGTTTATTTTATTTTTAATGTTTCTATTGAATAAACAATGCTAAAATAAATATAATTCTAGATTAACCTTTGCCAATGTCTGGTTATGTCTCAGAGTATAAATGATTCAAAGTTATTTAGCCATTGAAATCACCCATTAATATTTTTAATATATTTTCTTTAAACTGATCTTCAAAAGTCTCTACCACTTTACAATTCCAGCTGACAATGTAAAAGAAAAGTCTGTTTTAAAATATTTTTGCCAATTTTGAACACAATCAATTCTTTATTCTTTGCCAATTTGCCAGACATATTTTTAAGATATCTTATGAGTTAAATCATATTTTCTTAGTGCAGTGGCTTAAGAACATGTGTATAGGAATTTGTCAGTCATAAACTTGTGATTCAACTCTACCACTAAGTAAATTTCGACAACATAACTTCCCTTTTTATTTCCCCATTTCCTCATCTGAAAAGCAGGTTTTATAATAATAATAATATTTTTATATACTTTTAAAATAATACTTTTATAATAATAATAATACTTATCTCCTACATTTGCTATCATGTTTAAATGGTTTAATTTAGCTCAGTGCTTGGCACATGGTAAATGCTTAATAAATAGTAGACATAATTTTGTTGTTACTAATAAAAGCACTACTGATCTAAAATTAATTTGAACTCTTTACATTAATTGAAAATGTTTATTTTTCTGAAATTCCACATTTACTTTTAAGACACTTCAAAATTATTGGAGTTTTATTTTTATTGGTTTATTAAAGTTCTTTAGTTTTAAGCTGCATCATTTTCTTCAACATAATATCTGAAATAAATACGTTATTGCTATTTGTCTTTATCCTTTTAATATGGTTTATGACATTTTCTGAACTTTGAAATTTTATAATTTTCTTTAGTGAAATAGTATGCATTTTCCTATTTAATTTTGCCTTTGCTTGTACACTTACAAAGGTTTTGCCATACTAAGATAAGTAATGGATATTAACATCAAAACACAATATCTAATTAAAGGATTATATGTGCTAAGAAATCTGGGCACCAGCAATATGCCATGACTGAGAATCTACATAGTTAACATTAGAATTTCTGAACAAGGTCACAAAACACATTTGATTATTTAATATTGTCGTGCATGAAAACAATGTATCAATAAAAACATATGCCAATGTCTGTTGAACAGTAAAACTAAAAGAACATGCTAATAGGAAATAAGGATTAGGCCAAATGTCAAAGGATATGCTTTGAAAGATTCATAAATAGTGATTAAAAATGTAGATTAAAATAAAACTATCTGAGTGTAATGTTCCTGTGTTAAATTATCCAAGAAAATTTGGTCACCATTACTCTCTACAATTTAAATTGATTGTTGTCAACATGTTTGCATAACATTAGAATACCCACAAAATGTTGAATTACTCTGTTTTAGAGGTTAGTGTTTCAGTTCCTTTTCTCTAAGAACATGCATTAAAAGACTTAAGTTTTTATTGTTTCTGAATGACTAATTTTTATTTTGATGAGCAGATTTCTAAAGCAATAAATTCCTCATGGCATATCTTAATTTTTTCTTTGTGTGTATTGGAGACATAGGAAATATGTTTTTTCCAGTTACTAGTTATAGATTCAACAATGCCAGAGAGACACTTCGGAAAACACTATAACAGACCTCAGGAGACAGCTGGGTCATTGAACATCATTATTTCAGAATCGTGGTCATACCTAGACCTTCAGACATTTGCATTTCAGTTAGCCTCGACACACTACACAGAAATCATTTCTTATATAGTCCTAAACAAGAAGACTCAACTACAATCTTTTCGTTATTTTTAATAAAATTCATGTAAATATTTAAGAAGAAAATACAGGCTTTTCTTCTTCTACAATGTGCTTAATGAAGTGATTGTGATTATTGAATAGACTTCATGTGAATACTATTTCATGAATAATACTTCCCAAAGTTATAAAGGGTCAGATGAGAGCATATATTACTTGAAAAGAACTTGGCTCCATCTCTGTTAATTACAAAGACTTCCTGGGATTACTGTTGAATAGTTATTATGATAATGATCTTTCTCTATATAGATGTAAGGTAATTACGTAATTAGCAGATGGCAATAAAATAATTGTGGTAATATTAAAATGCTGATAGGTTTATCTAGGAAAAATTAACTACTTTGCAACTAACAAAATGAGAGTAGCCAAACATTCTTACATACTATGTAAGTATTTTTCTAAATGTTCCAGATGTATTAAATCATTTAATCTTCACAACCATTCCATGAGATAGATAATGATGTCAAACAAGGAAAATGAAACAAAGAGGAATTATGTAGCAGGTCTGAATTCACATAGCAAATACAAAAGAGCTTTGTTTAAAATTTAGGCATAATTACTCCAAGATTTACACTCTTAGCCACTTACCATCCTAACTCAAAAGAAGAAAACCCATAATATTATTTATTTGAATCAGATTTTCAAATTACTTTAACACAATGCATCTTCAAACTGAGAATCAGCACCACCTGTCTTAGTCTGCAGACACAATTCCAACTTTGAACATGAGATTCAAGTATGTAACCTGGGTATATTCTTCTAGCACTCTGAAGATGTTCTATATTTGAAAATGTAAGAAAGAAATAAGGCAATTGTTGAGGAAAAGAGAGAATAAGGGAGGATAGATTAATCACCTTCCAGAAATCTCTTTCTTCATAAGTTTATGACTAAATCTTGGCATACAGGGAAACTCAGACGAATACAGTCACCATGCCATGGCAATTTTATGTAACCTTAAAAAATCAACTTCAAATATTATCCTTTCTAGTTTTTCTATTCCCACTTTTATTAAACATACTCAAAAGTATGTAAATTTAGATTATACAATATTGTGCAATCATATACATTATGAAGAAATGACAAATCCCTAATTTGTTTCACAACCTCTATCTTTCATCCTCAAATCCTCGTGAGGCAGTACCAAAAGCTTTTCATTTCTGACAGTATAAATCTGAACATTTTTAGAAAGGTTTTTGATTGGCTCTCAAATGATTATAGGAAAAAAGTCTATATCCAGTCACATAGTGTAGAAGGATTTTAGGATTTTCAGCATATTGTACAGTCAAATATTTAAAAGAGTAAAATAATTCTACTTCTAGCCAATGTGGAGAAACAGGAACTTGATTTACTATTCTTCCCAAAACAACCAAAATAAAAGACACATAAAAATACAAAACTGTATGTTATGATACTATATATCAGGTAATAAAAGATATTTATCTCTGAGAGATGAGAAGTAAAGTAGGTGAATCTCAGGATTATTTCACTTTATTGCCTGGAGAGATATTCAAGGCTACAGTAAAATGAGGAAGAATCTGGGCAGAATCTAGTGATTTCCTTCTAGGAGAAGGAGCCGGTAATGTAGCTCCTTCCATAAGAGAAATGAGTGGCTAGCATTTTCACCAGAGAGTTAGTGCCAGAGAGAATAAAGCTGGGGAGGGTAGGGGGAGGGCAGGAAGAGATATATTCAAGGCTATAGTACAATGAGGAAAAATCTGGGCAGAATCTTGTGATTTCCTGAGCTGAGGAGAAGAAGCCAGTAATATAGCTCCTTCCATAAGAGAAAAGGGTGGCTAGAATTCGCAGGGGTTAGTGCCACAGAAAATAAAGCTGCAGAGAGTTGGGGGAAGACAGTAGGGGGAGAAGCTGTCTGGAGAAATGCAGGTTTCTTCAAGCCTTCACTCATACTGATCAGTTCATGCCATATGATGTTACCACCAGAAACCAGAGATTAAACAGCCAAAAGAATTAGAGGAATAATGCCTATTCCCATCAGCCAGAGTGGGAACTTAAAATTCATGAAACATTGGGTGTATAGGTAGGTAACTCAGAAGTGAATTGCTTCACAAGTGAAGTCAAATTAACTGTAAACAAAAACTCCTCTGGTCCTGATTAAAACAATCTTAAAAGCCAGACCAAAAGGATCAAATTATTTTCACATAAATTAACTGCTCAAGAATATATGTAGAAATACAAAAATATCCAGCGCCCAAAAAGATAAAGTTAGCAGTATCTGGTATCTAGTATAAATTACCAGATATGAAAAGAAACAATAAAATACAATATATGCAAGAAAAAAATTAATCAATTAAACTGACCCTGAAAAATACAGAAAATAGAATAGATGAAGCTATCACAATAGTTATTAAACTTTATTCCATACGTTGAATTAGCTAAATTGAACTTGTTCAGCAGAGAAGTGCTAAGACCTAACTCAAACTTCTAGAGTTGAAAGCAGTGTCTCAAATGCAAAATACACTAGATGGGATTAATAATAGTAATTTATACCTTATATAAGAAAAGATAGAAGAGATGGCAACATAAACAATTCAAAAATGAAGCAGAGAAGAATAAAATGATGAGAAAAACATTAACTGAGCATAAATCAGCTGTGGGACAATTTGAGTCCTGGTGTAATTTGAGTCCTGAAGCATAAAAGACAGAGGAAAAGCAGAAAATACATTTGCAAAAAATAATGACCATTTTTTCCAAATTTTTGGTTCACGAAAAATCTCAATCAAGCACAAGCAAAATTAAGGAAACTGTAGTAAAATATATCTTAACCAACTACTTAAATCCAATGATAAAAAGAGCCAGAGAAAAAGGCACAGTATATTCAGAGGAAAAAAAAGATGAAAAATTACAACAGACTTCTCATTAGAAAACTGAACATCAGACATCAGTTGAGGAGTAACTTTAATGTAGTGAAGTAAAAATGCTATCATTCCAGAATTCTGTACCCAGCAAAATGTATTTTTAAATGCTGAAGAAATAATAGCTGAACATACAGAAGCTAAAATACTTCATCATCAGTATGTCTGAACTAAAAGAAATGTGTTACCGGAGGAGTAACTAATAACAGATGAAAGTATAATCTACACAATTGAATAAAGAGCGCCAGAAATATAACTACATAAAATATATCTTTCTTATTTAAAATTTTTAAAAGATAATTAACTGTTTAAGTAAAAATAATAACACTATATTGTTGGATTTGGAGCTCATGTAGAAGTAAAACGTTTGACAACACCACCACAAAGGCCAGGAAAGAAAAGATGAAAATGTAAGGTTTTTATACTAAAAGTGAAATGGTATTATATTTGTGGAAGGTAGACTATGATAAGGTAGACATGTATACTATAACCATTAAAACAACAACTACAATAACACCACAAATAATTATAGCTAATAAACAATCATGAAAGAAAAAAGAAAAACACATAAATTTACCAATAAATCAAAAAAAAGGTAGAAAGAGGGAGAAATAAGTTAAACAGAACAGGAGGACAAGAAATACCGGCCAGGCGCAGTGGCTCACACCTGTAATCTCAGCACTTTGGGAGGCTGAGGCAAGTGGATCACCTGAAGTCAGGAATTCAAGACCAGCCTGGCCAACATGAAGAAACCCTGTCTCTACTAAAAATACAAAAATCAGCCAGGCATGGTGGTGGGCACCTGTAATCTCAGCTACTTTGGAGACTGAGGCAGAAGAGTCGCGTGAACCCGGGAGATGGAGGTTGCAGTGAGCCAAGTTCGCATCACTGCACTCCAGCCTGGGTGACAGAAATAGCAAGATGCTGTATTTAAACCAAACCGTGGCAATAATTATATTAAATGTAAATGATCAAAATGCTCCAATTAAAAGACAGAGACTGTGAGTGTCTAATTAATATTGAAATGGACAAGAATGAAAATAAAGTAATACTCTTACTATTCCAAAGAAATTCAGTCTAAAAATAAATTAATGAAAGAATAAAACATTACTTGGTCCTAACTAAGCAAGATGTATATCTCTGGTGGAAGTTGAGGAGCCGTGGTAATCCAGCAAGTCATGTCAGAACCCGAATAGAGAGTGTTTGTCCATCACATGTCAAACTTCATGGTGAAGAGTGGGATTCAGGAGGATAGTTGAGTGCAGGATGTTGGGGCCCATAAGGCTTCCATGTATGGGAGTGAGAGTGTGGCCAAGCACTGAATGTCAAAGGACTAACCATTATAAAGAGGGCATGGTGCGTGGCTTAGAATATGGTACTGAAGCCCAGGCAAAATGAGGAAGGTAACCAAATGAGGGAAGCTATGGAAGCCCTGGGTAGCGTATCTGAGCTGGAGTAGGGTTAGGAATGTGTTAGTAACATTTGAAACAACCAATTGAGTAAATATCTTCAGGCTAATGGAAGGCAGGTTTCTCCATTTTAGAGAAGAAAGAGACACTTATAGAAAGAGAAAAACCTAGAACAAATCTTATGGTATTGATTGGTTTGGAGATATTGTGAACATGTGATTTTTAACTGACATGATATTGGTAGACATGAGATAGAGATAGTAATATCCTAGCTCTATCATATGAGAGGATTTTGAACAACATACCTTAATAACAATAAACAAATATAGTTCGCAGTTTTCGTTTTCCAAATTTCATTGACAAAATGAACCAGAACATCCTTAGAACAGGTGTCCCCAAATCGCTAGCCACAGAATGGTACTGGTCTGTGTCCTGTTAGAAGTGGGGCCACACAGCAGGAGTTAAGCGTCAGCCAAGCATTACCTCCTGAGATCTGCCTCCTGTCAGATCAGCTGTGGTATTAGATTCTCATGGGAGCTCAAACCCAGTGGTGAACCATGCATGCAAGAGACATGGGTTGTGTGCTCCTCATGAGACTCTACTAACTAATGCCTGATGATCTGAAGTGGAACAGTTTAATCCCAAAACCATCCCTCCACCTCCTACCCATGGAAAAATTGTCTTCCACAAAACCCGTCCTTGGTGCCAAAAAGGTTGAGGACTGCTGCTTTAGAGAAATGACTGATTCCAGTTCCAGGACAGAGGAAGTATAAAACTAACCTTACTTTTTTCATGCCAGACAGTAAGGGAGTGTTCAAAAACCACAGACACACTCCCAAAAGATACACAAAATATCTTGAAAGTGCTTCTATTAACCAAATCTTGGGGAATTTGAGATATAAATAATGAGCATAAAGATTTTTAACCCAAATATTAAAATAAGAATATGTGAGTACATACTAATATAAATAAGTGAATAAAATTAAAGTTTGAAGAGAAATTTAAAGTTTGAAGTAAACTAATATCTAGTTTCAAAGTACCTTCACAAAATTACAGTGAGAAAAAAGAGAAATCTTATTCATAGGAGTCTAGCCAACACCTCTTAATTAAAGGATTAAAGTTACTATCACCAATGGTGGAATGAATGGAAACCACATAGTATCTTATATGTAATGTAAGAATGCATAGGTAAAAAACACATTCATGCTTCTGTGATATCCCTGCCAAAGAAGCATAATCTATTGATGAAGAACCATCAAGCAAACAGAAACTGAGGGGCTTTCTATAAAATAAGTGGCTTCCAATCTTCAAAAGTATCAAAATCACATGCGTTAAAAAAAGTTGAGGAAGTATTTCAGATTTGAGTAGACTTAAGAATAATCAAGTAAATGTAACATACATTTATAGACTAGAATCTTCTGCTTTAAAGGACATTTTGGAGGACAATTGGTGAATATTAAATAAATTTTGAGAATTAGTTCCCATAATCTATCAGTGTTCATTATCTGATTTTGATGGTTATACTATGTACAAGGATATTAGAAAATTGTCTTTGCTTATAGAAGTATGCCAACGTGTTCATTGGTAATGAAGCATCAGTTTGTCTAATTTATTTTAAATGCTTCAGGCTAAAAAAAATATAGTTTTGTACTATATGGGTAACATTTTTTGAGATTTTTTAATTTAAAAATTAAATTAAAAATGTGTTAAGTATTTACACATGTAAATACTACAACTTTCTTAAAATTATTAACAAAATGTAAAAGTTAAAATATAAGTTAGAAAACATTTGAGATAAATATTAATACATATCACTAAGATTTCATGTGGGGAAATATAAAGCTAAGATCTAATTCAGATACGGTAGGATTTAATAAAAAATTTGAGAGGCTAGGGAAGTGAAAGTCAGAACTGGCAGTACTTAGGAAATCAGGAAGCGCAGGGATTGCAAAATATCATCAATTTTAATATTAGTTGCTTACAGAATCAAAATGGGTAATTTGCAAAAGAATATTCAGAAACATTTGGTAACATTTCTTACACATCATCTGTCAGACCATATTCCTATTATGCTACTGCAGCAGAAGGAACAATGGTTTCTCTTTCTATTGCACTTTCCAAGTCTTGTGTAGATGCTTTATATTGCTAGAATCAAATCCAAAAACATGCTGGCAAGCATTTTGGAAAATGTAATTCCCAGGCTTTCAACTCTCAGTATATAGAGGAGCCCATAGAAGAGGGAAAATGGCATTTAGTTGGCAGTAGATAATTCTGCACATGATAATTGTATTAATATATAAGGATCTTATTAAAAGTTAATGGATTGATTAATTTAGAAAACCTTAATTGAAATTTTATTGCAGGACATACACGGAAAAATCACAGGAAAAAATATACATTTTTAATAAGTATGACAAATATGTAAAATGTACTTTTTCTTCTTCATTAAGCAAAATTAAATTTATGCCTGTTTTTTTTCTGGGAAAGATGTAGTAAGTTGGGCAAGCTCATATATAAATAATAATATACACCACCATAAACTTTAGGACACAGATTTGCAAAATGTATTAAGTGGCCTAAAATATGTAGTCTGTCTCTGTGATTGGACTTCATAGAATGCATTTTTAAAAATATTCAGGCAACAAATATTTATATAAGTGGATACCTTTTTCTTATTAAAGAATGGAATCAACATAAGAGCCAAACAATAGGGGAATTCCTAAAAAAAAAAATCATTCCACAGGATAAAATGTTATGTAACTATTAAAGATCATGACCTTAACAAATATTTACTTAAAACTAGAATTAGTAAGAAGAAAGAAATAATAAAGATTACTGCAGAAATAAATGAAATAGAGACTAAAAAACACAAAAGATCAACAAAATGAAAACTGGGTTTTTCAAAAGATAGACAAAATTGACAAATAGTTAGCTAGAATAATTAAAAAAGGAAAGAAGATCCAAGTAAATAAAATCACAAATGAAAAAGGAGACATTTCAACTAATAACACAGAGATACAAAATATCATTAAATTATATTATGAAAAAGTGTAAGCCAACAGACGAGAAACCTAGAGAAAATGGATAAATTCCTTGACACAAACAAGCTACTAAGAATGAAGCAGGAAGAAATAAAAAACCTAAACAGACCAATAACTACTAAGATTGAAGCAGTAATAAAAAGTCTCCCAACAAAGAAAAGCCCGGGACTAGATAGATTCACTGCTGAATATTACCAAACACTAAAGAACTAAAACCAGCCGGGTGCCGTGGCTCAGGCCTGTAATTCCAACATTAGGAGGCCAAAGCAGGTGGATCACTTGAAGCCAGGAGTTCCAGACCAGTCTGGCTAATATAAAAATCAGCCAGGTGTGGTGGTAGGTGCCTGTAATCCCAGATACTCAGGAGGCTGGGGCATGAGAATCACTTGAACACCGGAGGCAGAGGTTGAAGTGAGCCAACATCACACCACTGCACTCCAGCCTGAGTGACAGAGTGAGCCTCGGTCTCAAAAAAAGAAAGAAAAGAAAGAAATACAACCAATTATTTGTAAACTATTGTATAAAACTGAAGGGGAGAGAATTTTTCATTCTGTGAAGCCAGCATCACTCTGATACCAAAACCAGACAAGGGCGTAACAAAAATGAAAAGTACAAGCCAATATCCCTGATTAACATAGATGCAAAAATCCTTAAGAAAATACCAGCAAACTGAATCCAACAGCACATAAAAAAGATTATACACCGTATTTCAGTGTAATTTATCCAGGGATGCAAGGTTGATCACACATACACAATTGAAGAAATGTAATACAGCACATCAACAGAATAAAGGAAAAAACCATGTGAGTATCTTAATAAATGCAGAAAGAAACATTTGATAAAATTCAACATTCCTGCATGATAAAAGCTCTCAAAGAATTAGATTTAGAAGAAACATATCTAGACACAATAAAGACCATATATAGCAAACCCACAGCCAACATCATACTGAATAGGGAAAAATTGAAAACTTTTCTCAAATAACTGGAACAAGACAAAAATGCTCACTTTCACCACTTTTATTCAACACAGTACTGGTAGCCCTGACCAGAGCAATTAGCCAAGAGAAAGAAATAAAAGACATCCAAAATGGAAAGGAAGAAGGCCAATTGTCCCTCTTTTCAGATGACGTGATCTTGTATATCGAACAACTTAAAAACGTTACCAAAAATCTTTTAGAACTGATAAATTCAGTAAAGTTACAGGATAGAAAAATCAATGTACAAAAAAATCAGTAGCATTTCTATACACCAATAACAAACTAGCTGAAAAAGAAATCAGGAAAGCAATCTCATTCACAATAGCAAAAAAAAAAATAATAATAGAAATAAATATAACCAAACAGATGACAAGTCTTCTCGATACAATTATAAAACTCTAGTGAAAGAAAATGAAGAGGATGTAATCAAATGGAAAGACATCCCATGCTCATGAATCAAAAGAATTAATATTGTTAAAATGAGCACACTATCCAAAGCAATGTAAATATTCCATACAATTCTTATCAATATATGAATTACATTCTTTGCAAATATAGAATAAACAATCCTAAAATTGATATGGAGCCACGAAAGATTCTGAATAGCCAAAGCAATCTTGAATAAAAAGTACAAAGCTGAAATCTTCAGAGTATCTAACTTCAAAATACACTAGAAAGCTACAAAACATACTATTAATAGGAAGAAAACCAAACAGTGTGGTAACTGGCATAAAAACACACACATGACCAATGGAAAATAATAGATATTTTAGACATAAATCTTCATATTTATAGCTAACTGATTTTTCACACCAGTGTCAAGAACATACAATGGGGACAACATAGTCTCTTCAATAAATGGTCCTGTACAACCTGGATATCCATACGAAAAAAAGAAAAACTAAATCCCTATTTCTCACCATATACAAAAATTAACTCAAAATGAATTAAAGACCTAAGGGTAGGACCGGAAACTACTGAAAGAAAACATAGGGAAATTCTTCAAGACATTCATTCTGGCAAAGATTTTATGGATAAGACCACAAAATTATAGGCAACAAAAGCAAAAATAGACATATATTATATCAAACTAAAAAGCATCTGTACAGCAAAGGAAAAATATCAGAAGAGTGAAGAGATAACTTATAGAATGCGAGAAAATATGTGCAAATCATTCCTCTAAAAAGAGATTAACATTCAGAATATAGAGGAACTCAAGTCAACAGCAAAAATAAAATAATTCAATTTAAAATGGGCAAATTATCTGAATAGACGTTTCTCAAAAGAAGACATACAAATAGACAACACATATGAAAAAATGCTCAACATCGCTAATCAGCAGGGAAATGCAAATCAAAACCATAATGAGATGTCACTGTAACCCAGTTAAAATGGCTACTATCAAAAAGACAAAAAATAACAAATGCTAGTAAGGGTGCAGAGAAAGGGGAACTCTCATACAGTGTTGGTGGGCGGAATGCAAATCAGTACAGCCATTATGCAAAACAGTTTGTAGACTCCCCCCTACAAAAAAAACTACAAACAGAATTACCATATGATCCAGCAATCCCACAACTAGGTATATATCCGAACAAAAGCACATCATTATGTCTAAGAAATACCTGCACTTCCATATTGCTGCACTAGTCACAATAGTCAAGATACAGAATAAATGTAAGCATCTATCAACAGATGAATGGACAAAGAAAACGTGGTATATATTCACAATGGAAGACTATTTGGCCATAAAAATGAATGAAATACTGCCATTTGTGGCAATATGGATGAACCTGAAAGACATTATGCTAAGTGAAATAAGCCAGGTACAAAAAGAGAAATAACACATATTCTCATTCACATGTGAAAACTAAATAATTTGATCTCATAGAAGTAGAAAGTAAGAATAGAATAGTGGTAGCTAGAAGCTAGGATGGGTAGGGAGCGGGGGGATAGAGACAGGTTGATTGCTTAAGGAATACAGCTAAGTAAGAGGAATCAGTTCTAGTGTTCTACAGCACTGTACAATGAATATAGTTCACAGTAATTTATTCCATATTTTTAAGTATCTAGAAGAGAGAATTTTGAATGTTCCCAACACAAAGAGATGATAAATAGAGGGGCTAGATATGCTAATTACTCTGGTTTGTTTATTACACATTGTATACAGGTATAGAAACATTGCACTGTACCTGATAAATATGTGCAATTATTATGTATCAATCAAAATTATAATAAAGTAATAAATTTAGATGGTAAAAATAAATAAAAGAGAAAAAATTCTTAGTATGCACTTAATTTTTAAAACCATGGTAAATAAAAAACAGTATCAGTGTCAAATAGGCATATATACATAAAGACTGACAGATATTATTAATACTGTATTTTCTTTCTTCCTTATTCTGTTAAAATATTTCCCAAAATTTCCACAATTCGTTTATGACAAATAAAATTAAAAAAATAACATTTTTACATGAAATATATTTCTAAAGCCCCCCCCCGCCCTTTTTTTTTTTTTTTTTTTTTTTTTTTTTTTTTTTTGAGACGGAGTCTCACTCTGTCACCAGGCTGGAGTGCAGTGGCTCCATCTTGGCTCACTGTACCCTCTGCCTCCCAGGTTCGAGCGATTCTCCTGCCTCAGCCTCCCAAGTCACCGGGACCCAGCTAATTTTTGTATTTTTAGTAGAGATGGGGTTTCACCATATTGGCCAGGATGGTCTCGACCTCTTGACCTCGTGATCTACCCACCTCACCTTCCCTAAGTGCTGGGATTACAGGCGTGAACCACTGCGCCCGGCCTACTAAAGCCCTTTTAAGAAACTAACGAAAAAAATGCAGATAGGGCAGAGCAAGAGATTTAAATATTATATTTATTGGCATGTAGGAAATAAGTGAAGTCTACGTACATAAAAAGAAAAGAAGTCGAATGTTAAGACTGGAGAGAATGACTACATTATAGTCCTTGTCCTGTTGTAACTCTTCTAGACATCCTAATTTGAAACTACTGATAAAATATATGTGCTAATATATCATTCCATTTACTGTTGAGTATCAACTCTGTATTGATGACCAATATGATTGTAGTTTAGAAATGCAATTTCATTTCTAACACCTTTTTACTTATCTAAGAGCACAGTTTATTTCAATTTTAGTGATAAGGTCCAAGGCAATGAGTGGGGCCATTTGTCTGAAGCACTCACTGTTAAATAGCACATACAGAGATCTTGAATGGCAAATATTAGAAAAAATATCTATATTTAGTATTAAATATTTGAAGGCTTTTTCAGATTTGTACCAACATTCTTACTTGAGATTCCGCAATCAAAATGGCTTATTTAAATTAGTAGTTCAGATTCAGCGCCTCCCCCGACAAACACACACCCTTATATCAAAAGAGCTTACATATGATGACTAGTGACATCTGAATAAAAGCCATGCCTATTAATATCAAAATGAAGAGAATCATGGCCATATGAAGCTGAATGTTGTAGCTTCAGACAGTGTTCACCTAAAGAAATATTGATATCATTGACCACTCTAATGAGGAACGTCCTCCCTCCATTAAACCCAGTTAAAATGACTGATCGATTTGGTCAACGTTTTGCCTCTATTACTTGACTCTGCACAGCACAAGGTAGACAGGTTTGCAGGTAATGTTTTCCAAAGTCTCTAATTTGAACTAAATCTATATAATTTCTAAATGTATCCCATCTCTTCCTCCTGGCCCCTCTCCATCTTGTTCCTTACACGTAAGCGTAAGCCTTTTTCTTTCTGCACTTTTGAACTTTCCTCACTTCCAGTTTGTCTATTGTGTATTTTCTTAACTGATTTTGCTCAAATAAAATGCTTTTAGAGGCAGAAAGAAAAGTGTTGCAATGACCACATATGTCATTAGGACAGCTCTGTTATCTCAAACTAAATATTTCAGGTAATACATTTTATTAAAGTGTATTTTTATTTTTTAGCTATTCAGGGCACAACTAATTTTTGTATTAAAAAATCATTAAAAACCCAGAATTGCAACTTGCTCATAATAGAATGCATTATTGAGATATATTGTACCTACTGAATCTTCTATGCTTACAGTCTAGGCCCGTATTTGGAAGAATAAATAAGATATAATTTCCCGCTTTCGTTAAGTTTAAAGTCTATTGAGATTAACTTAATGCTAAGCAGGCTACTATAATTTAGTCAGCAACGACCTGGGATAGAGTACTTTGAAAGTACACAGGAAGACTTCCTGGTGCCTTCCATCACTTTAGATGACACTTAGACCAGAAAGGATTGAGTATGAAATATCCAGGAGAAGAGCCAAAAGGGAATTTTATCAGAGAGAACGAAGTCATGTAAAAAAATTGACAGTGAGAAAAAATAAGGCAAATCTGAGGAATTTAAAAGTATTTTTGTATCTGTATCACTAGAATGTAAAAGATAAGGTATGAGTTGAAAATATTAGATATGCTGGTGAAATACATAGGAGTAATTATTTACCCTGGGGACACTTTAAAGCATTTCAGAATACTATATAAACAAGGGAGTTAAATGTATTCAGATTTATGATTAATTCATTGGCACTAGTGAAGTTTTTGAGAGCTAGCAAGCTCTGATGAGTGAGTAACAGTCATGGCATTTTATTATGGTTTATTGTTGTCATGGCAGTTTATTTCAACAGTTACCAAGTAAAACTGGTCTTACGGTAATAACAGATCATTTCAGCAGCTGGCTTGCAGCATAATCCCTCTGAAGGCAATTGTATCCTGAGTGTTTTCCCCTCCACCCCGGTCTCTTGACTCTAATTTAGTTAGGTATGATAAGATAACTTCAATTCATATAATCAATTTTCACACAATTTAAACAAACTGGATCACTTTCTCAAAATTATATAAACTACTACAACTCATTTGATATAAGGTGAAGTTATCTGAGTAGCCCTATAACTATTAATGCAATGGAATTCATGGTTTAGAAAATCTCAGAAAAAAAAAGTGAGAAAAAATATTTTGACTGTAACAATGTCAATATCCTGGTTCTGATATTACATTATACTTTTGCAAAATGTGATCATTAGGAAAGCTGAGTAAAACGTACACAGGATCTCTGTGTTATTTCTTACAAATGCATGCGAACCTACAATTATTACAAAATAAAAAGTTAAAAATATTATGACAAATTAACTGCCATTTTAAATTCAAAAAATAAAATTTTAGATTTGTAGCACGGATATTATTTATCTTCATATTATGTAATACCACCTTTAACTACAAATATGAAAGTATTTTACTTATATGCAAAATAACCAGTATTTTGTATTTTTCATTTTCTTTCATTTTAATAATTTCAACTTTTATTTTAAATTCAGGGGGTACATATGCAGGTTTTGCCACATGGATATATTGCATAATGCTGAGGTTTGAAATATGAATGATCCCTTCACTCAGGTAGCAAGCACAGTACCCCAATAGTTAGTTTTTTAACACTTGCCTCCTCTCTTCCTTCCCACCAGTAGTCCACAGTGTCTATTGTTCCCATCTTTATGTCCATGAGTATCCAAATTTAACTTGTACTAAAAAGCAAGAATGATGGCTTTCAGCTGCATTCATGTTGCTGCAAAGAACATGATTGCATTCTTTTTGTGGCTGCATAGTACTCCATGGTGTGTATGTACCACATTTTCCTTATCCAATCCACCACTGGGCAGCTAGGTTGATTCCATGTCTTTGCTATTATGAATAGCGCTGCAATAAACATAGGAGTACAGATGTCTTTTTGATAGAACAATTGGTTTTCTTTTAAATATACTCCCAGTAATGGGACTGCTGGGTCCAATGGTAGTTGTGTTTTAAGTTCTCTGAGAAATCTCCAAACTGCTTTTCACAGTGGCTGAACTAATTTACATTCCCACCAACAGTGTGTGAATGTTCCCTTTTCTCCACAGCCTCACCAGCATCTGCTGCTTTTTGACTTTTTAATAACAGCCATCCTTACTAGTGTGAGATGCTATCTCACGGTGGTTTTGATATACATTTCTCTGAGGATCATTGATATTGAGTATTTTCTTCATATTTTTGTTGGTCAGTCGTATGTCTCATTTCAAGAAGTGTCTCTTTATGTCTTTTGCCCACATTTTAATGGGGTTATTTGTTTTTTTTGCTTGTTGAATTAAGTTCTTTACAGCTCAATCATCAGCATTTTTTAATCTTGTGCAAGCATATGTTTTGTTTTTGCTGGAATAGTAGAAATCCTGTTCAAAGATTTTTATTTCACTTCTAACATACATATATTCTAAAAATCCTATATCCAGCTTACAGGGATGTAAGAAATAATTGAAATGAAAGGGAACTATGGATTTCTCTACTTTTCCCTTCCTTAGTGTGCTATTGTTTTCAGCACAAGTGTTTGGCTAATATAATATCAGGAAGTAAAGTGAGTTTGAAAGGATATTAGATGTAAGGCTCCTTGGGCCTTGGAGTCTGTTAGAATGCTGGTATCTTCTTTGAGTGTCTGTTTCAGATGGAAAACAAGGCCTCCCACAACTCTCAACTCCCAACATCCTTAGACACAGACTTGTGATTTTGGAACATGAGCACAGAATTTCAGTGGAATCACAACACTGAGGGAGACTCAAAACAACCTTGAATAATTGTTTGGATAATGCCGGAGAGAAACACGGGTAGTCCAGCCTAACACAGAAGTTATTCTCTGGGCAACTGCAGACCTTATTTACTCATATAAAATTACATTAAAGTTCTATAAAATAATCTTTGAAATATTATGAGAAAATATTTCTATTCTTAGAAGATGGTAGAGTGAAATTATGAGGAGTATATGCTTTGAGTAAGACAGCTTGGATTATGTGGATAAAACAGGAAAAAATGTGGGAATAAATAACATGTGATAGTATGAAACATTCAATGAATGCCTGGGGGATAGTAACACATTATATTCCTGTAGTAGTTGTATATAGATAACAATAGTTGCTGGATAACCATTCGGCAGAGTAAGTATGCAGTTTATATACTAGCAAGAGAAGGTCATGAAAAAAGTTTGAATAAAAGTCTTTGTTAAGTAGTAATTATACAATCTTTTAAAAAGCCATCTGATCTCTGTATGCATATGTTGTATGTCATGTTTTAATGTAACATTGTATTTTAACCACAAAGGACTGAGAGAAAGATATCAGAACCGTGTGTGTGTGTGTGTGTGTGTGTATGTGTGCCTGTGTGTGTGGTTTGTGCCCCCAAGGATTTCAATCCTATTCAGAAACAAGAGAAATAAAAATAATCAACTGGTAGAAGATACATAACTATTTTTTTCAAGAAGATAAACTATTCTTTTCAAGATACATAACTATTTTTTTCAAGAAGAATTTATAATGGTCAAAGCTGTCCAAAGCTAGAATTTTCTGTCTCAGAAATTTGACATTCTGATTTACTAAATCTAAAGAATATATACATGTATGTGTGTGTATACTTTAGAATATATATATACACACAGTATATACTATAGTATATAGAATATACTTAAGAATATAGAATATATGTATCTAGAAATATATGAAATATCTATGTATATATGAAATATATGAATAAATGTATATAGTAATATATGAAATACATACATACATTCTAAAGTATTAATACATATATTTGGAATGTTGGAATAAGATTTCTTGAATTCTTTTTGTTTTGTATATATAATACTAAAGTAATTTAAGAAATTGATTGTAGGTTGGACTACATCTATGCTTTCAAGTCGTTCTTCATTGGCATTCCAACATTCCAAAGTCACCTAAGATACATAATAAATAACTCAAGTGTCCAAATTAATTTAACACTTATTTTGTGTCTGAGGTACAAGATCCATAACTCTGCACTTTTTAAAACCCTAGAGATGACTCTGATATAGTCTGCCAATGGAGCTGCTGACCTAGATGACCTTTCATATCCTCTCAAATTTGATGTTTGGTTTATTTGGTTTCTATCAGTGCTTGGAGTACAGGAATGAGTCTTATGCCTTTCTTTATATGCAGGGCCTTGCTCATAATTGGTATTAGGTAAATGTTTCATAATTAAAAGAACAAATGAATGACTGAATAAAAGGACATCTCATTCCCCCCCACCGACCTCTCTGTATAATACTAAAGACCTTTATAAAAATTAGCATAAAAGTTAATGAAATCAGTATGAAAGATGAAATAGAATGCAGTGGCAAGATGGAAAAAAATATGGGTAAAACAAACTCAATTATTTAACATGTTGGGGAAGAAAAGGAGCTTGGGGGAAAACTATTTAAACTAAGATAGGATGATAAGTTTAAGAAACTAGAACATGCTGAAAAATATGCAGTATATATAACTTGAAACCGAAGAAAAAGAAGGCAATGCATCAATATTGAGAGGCTTGAGGAGTAAGAGACAGGAAAGAAGAAAGCTCTGTCACTGAATCTGATATACTCATCATCCAAATACTACAGGCTAAGAAAAAATATTATGTATGTATTTCCTTTTGCTCTAGGAAGTAGCTTCATTACAAGAACTGTGAATGCATTAAGCATTTCACTGTTCACCTTAAGGGCGTGCTACATAGACTATTTTTTTTTTCCTAGTCTGGCATGCTCTGGGGCATAAAATGATTTGGTTGCCGAAGTTTTGACATTTTAAAATATTTCAATGATTAAATGTTTAATTAAGTCAGTGGACCCTGAGGTCACTTGGCAAAGGGTAGTTTTTTTGTTTTGTTTTGTTTTGATTTTGATTTTGGATCAAATTCATTAAAACACACACACATACACACCCAATTTGAGAAAAGCATTGGTAAATCTGTTGGGAAAAAAGCTTTCCTAAAAATATTCATTTACTACCGTTTCTTGAGTTAATCAGAGTTACAAGAAAGCGGTACTTCTGCATAGAATTATCTGGAAGTGTTTCACTGGAAAAAGGTTCATTATCCTAATAAATGATGGAGTAAATAACAAATAACAGGCCTGGTACAGGCCTGGCTCACACCTGTAATCCCAGGACTTTGGGAGGCCGAGGTGGGCAGACCACTTGAGGCTAGAAGCTCGAGACCAGCCTGGCCAACATGGTAAAACCCCATCTCTACTAAAAATACAAAAGTTAGCCGGGCGTGGTGACATATGCTTGTAATCCCAGCTTCTCCAGGAGACTGAGGCAGGAGAATCACTTGAACCCAGGAGGCGGAGGTTGCAGTGAGCTGATGTCGCGCCACTGCACTCCAGCCTGGGTGACAGAGCGAGACTCCATCTCAAAAAATAAATAAATTAATTAATAACAAATAAATAAATAAATAACAATAATAAATTTAAAATAATATATACATGGGTGGGAAAGCTAAAAACTGGAACATGTAATACCAAGGAATCCTGTAGCTTCTATATGCATCCAACTCTATCCTAACTTAAGATGCAGCTTCACTGTGGACTGATCAAAGTCAGTCAGATTAATAGTGGAAAATTATGCATATTTCACTGTAGTTTAATAATTTAGTGCTGCATTAAATCCTTTGGGGATTAAGGCATTATATGATTAATTTATTCATAAGCAATCGATTCATTGATTCAGGGACATTTGCTAGTTAGTGAGCTCTCCCATTTGCAGACATTGGTTCAGTTTGTTTGTTGTTAGTGTTTTAGCAAAACTTGGCAAAGCTTCCTCCATATAGTAATACAGTTATTCTTTGGTATCCATGGAGGATTTGGGGGATTGGTTCCAGAACCCCTGTGAATACCAAAATCCACAGAGGCTTAAGTCCCTTATATAAAATAGTGTAGTATTTGCAGATAACCTACATACCTTCTCCCATATAGTTTAAATCATTTCTAGAGTACTTATATTTAATTTACATAACAATATAGATGTTGTACAAATTGTTACACTGTATTACTTTTAAATATTTATTATTTTTATTGTTGTATTGTTATTTTTATTATGTTTTTTAAAAATACTTCAATTCATTGTTGGTTGAATTAGAGAAGCAGCGTGCAATTAAAAAAAAAAGTGTGGCATGTGGTGTCTGTAGCATTGAATGAATTTCCATATATATTTATCACGATAATTTTTTGAGACAGAGACTTATGTTTTTATTGCATATTCTGTGTTTTTTTTTTTTTGTTTTTTTTTTTTATGTTCTCCTCCCTTTCTTTCCCCCCTTAAGGAGGTGGCCACATTCTACTTTCTTTCCTCATATGAGATTAGTTTTTGTGCTTCTAGACTTTTGTTTCCCAGTGTCTTAACCCACTGAAAATAATAGAATTTGAAGAAACATGCTGTATCTCTAGACTAAATAAGGATTCTTGCAGGTTGAGTGGTGTGTGTGTGTGTGTGTGTGTGTGTCTGTGTCTGTGTGTCTGTGTGTCTTTGTGTATGGCGCTGTGTGGGGGGAGATGCCATGTGGCAGCATCTCCAAAGATGTGGCAGAACCTCAGTAGTAATGAACACACATTACACTGAGAAGACTGGAAGGGTCCAGCAATTCCAGCCAATATGGTAATTCCCATGCATAAGGAAGGCGCAGACACAATGGGCAATTGGTGTTGCCAGCTGGATAATAAAATTCTTAAAGGAAACATAATCAGTGATGAATTAGTCATCCCTGATGTTTAGTGTGGTTTACAATTCCAAAAACTTGAAGTGAGAAAAACAACAAATATGACTGATATTAAATTATTTACAAGGCTATGGAAATCAAGAGATGAGTTTATGAGTTGAGATTTATACATAATATACAGAAGTTCCTGGTAGAAAAGGCAATAACAAGAATAATGACCATAACCCTGTATGTATAGGGATGTTGTTTGTGTTTTCCCATAGATGGATGAAGCTCATTGAAATCAGCAGAAGTATTGTATGAGTCATTCATGGGCATGGGAGCCTCTTAGATAGAGAAATATATACACTTTGAAGGCAACTCTGAGAGATTTATTCACTAATTGCTTGGGAGAGGATATTGGAATTTCAACAGAAATAATAAAATGTGAAAAATCCTTGGAATTTACCAGACCTGTATCCAACCTCCAGTGCAAGTAACATGAAGATTATCTGTTGATTCTTATTCTGTGGTGAGAGAGACACACTGGCACCATCTTGTGATGACACCAGAGAATAAAACTAAAGGCTAAAATAATAGAACATCTCAGATTATGAATAAGCGAGAAATGGGAGCTCCATGAGCTAGATCATCCATTACTAGAAATACAAGAGGTTAATATCTGATTAAGTGTGAATAACACTGGAATACATTCCAGTAACACAGTAATGGCCATGCATTATTGGTTAAAATCATGGATTATTAAATGACTATATCATGGCAATGCTTTTATTTTTACTTTCTATACTTCATTCTAAATAATTTTCTCAAACTTAAAATAAATACATTATTTTACCTCTAGTCAAACCTGATTTATAAATTATCTTTCTAGTTATCTTTTTTATCTATAAAATGAGTTTGTTATATTAATTGATCTATTAAGCTTCTTCTAGATCCATAAAGTGTCTTACTGACAATGATAATATAATAACAGTTCAGCTTATAGAAGAAAGAAATTTTGGTTCATTAATTTGTCTATTCAACAAATCTTCGTTGTCTCTGGTTTACTAGCTATTATAGTAAGTTATAAATTTGAAAATATGAGTAATATGAAGATATTTTCCACAAAAAGGCTAAAGACTATAGGGACAGACATGTACGCAAATAATCACTCAAGATGCAGTACTCTGCATCACACAGAAATAAGACGATTTTGACTCAATTTTGGCTCACGTCTGTAATCCCAGCACTTTGGGAGGCCGAGATGGGTGGATCACAAGGTCAGGAGATCGAGAACATCCTGGCCAACATGGTGAAACCTTGTCTCTATTAAAAATACAAAAATTAGCTGGGCGTGGTGGTGTGCAACTATAGTCCCTGCTACTGGGGAGTCTGAGGCAGGAGAATAGCTTGAACCTGGGAGGCGGAGGTTGCAGTGAGCTGAGATCGCGCCACTGCACTCCAGCCTGGCGACAGAGCAAGACTCTGTCTCAAAAAAATAAATAAATAATAAAAAATAAATAAATAAAACTATTTGGACTCAATTTTCTTTTTCGTTCATTCAAAAAAGCAGATTCTCTGTGTTGTTATACATAAAGAGTCAAAATTTTAACATTATCTGCCAGAATACTTAAATTCACAGGTATTTTTTTTAAAGAATTGGTGAAGGAAGGTGTATTAGTTTTCACACTGCTGATAAAGACATACCCGAGACTGGGAAGGAGAAGAGGTTTAATTGGACTTAGAGTTCCACATGGCTGGAAGGCCACACAATCATGGTGGGAGGTGAGAGGCACTTCTTACATGGCAGTGGTAAGAGAAAATGAGGAAAAAGCAAAAGTGGAAACCCCTGATGAACCCATCAGATCTCGTGAAACTTATTAACTATTACAAGAATAGCACAGAAGAGGCTGGCCCCCATAATTCAATTACCTCCCTCTGGGTCCCTCCCACAATATGTGGGAATTCTGGGAGAGACAATTCAAGTTGAAATTTGGATGAGGACACAGCCAAACCATATCAGAAGGTAAAGGCAGAGTATAGAAAAGGTAACTGACTTTGGGAGGTCACGGTGGGTGGATCACCTGTGGTCAGGAGTTCGAGACCAGTCTGGCCAACATAGTGAAACCCCGTCTCTACTAAAAAATACAAAAAAATTAGCTTGGCATGGTGGCGGGTGCCTATAATCCCAGCTACTCGGGAAGCTGAGGCAAGAGAATAGGTTAAACCTGGGAGGCGGAGGTTGCAGTGAGCCAAGATTGTGCCATTGCACTCCAGCCTGGGCAACAAGCGCAAAACTCAGAAAGAAGGAAGGAAAAGAAAGAAAGAAAGAAAGAAAGAAGAAAGAAAGAAAGAAAGAAAGAAAGAAAGAAAGAAAGAAAGAAAGAAAGAAAGAGAAAGAAAGAAAAAAGAAGGAAGGAAAGAAAGAAAAGAGAGAGAGAGAAAGAGAGAGAGAAAGAGAGAGAGAGAAAGAGAGAAAGAGAAAGAGAGAGAGAAAGGAAAAGAAAGAAAAAGGAAGGAAGAAAGGAAGGAAGGAAGGGGAAAGAAAGAAAAAGAAAGAAAGAAAAAGAAAGGGAGGGAGGAAGGAAGAAAGGAAGGAAGAAAAAGAAAGAAAGAAAAAAAAGAAAGAAAGAAAGGGAAAAAAAAGAAAAGGTAACTGAATGTTGTTTTTCATTCTCTTAAAGATATGGGATTTGCTATACCAGTGGTATGAGAAAGAACCATTTATTGAGTATGTGCTAAGCACTGTGCTAGGAACTGAATATTTATTGCCAAATAAATATGGGTATATAAAATTACCAAATTTTATATTTTTGTGTGTTGTGGAGGGTCACATCTCTATCTTGATATCATTCTTCTTACTTTATTTATTTATTTTTTTTGAGACAGAGTCTCGCCCTGTCGCCCAGGCTGGAGTGCAGTGGCGCGATCTCGGCTCACTGCAAGCTCCACCTCCTGGGTTCAAGTGATTCTCCTGCCTCAGCCTCCTGAGTAGCTGGGACTACAGGCACATGCCACCACGCTCAGCTAATTTTTGTATTTTTAGTAGAGACGGGGTTTCACTATGTTGGCCAGTCTAATCTTGAATTCCTGACCTCGTGATCCACCCGCCTCAGCATCCCAAAATGCTGGGATTACAGGCGTAAGCCCTGTGCCCAGCCGATACTATTCCTCTTAATTTAAGTCATTATTTCACAGGTCAGAATCTGTCCTATTCCTTCAGCCATCAATCTTTCCCCAGACAAGACTGAAGAATATTAGCAAATTTATTTTGGAGATAGAATTTTTCTCTGTTGGTAATCAGTCTTAAATAATGAAATAGTGTCCTGAGAGAACAGTAGAGGTGCTACTAATTTAGAACATTTTAAATTAGACATAATGACATTGCTAGACATGATCTTGTTAGGATTGTAATAAGGCTATGTCCCCACTCTTTATATGACTCTGAAATCATTCATTTGGAAGGATTCCTGTTCTCATTGAAGACATCATACTTTTTTTTGTTCAAGTGGAAGGATTTATTCTAAAAAATATATTCCAGTTCATCTCATTAATAATGTATATTGTAAGGAACAATCTTGTGCCAGCAGGTGTATAGAACAGTTGGCCCAGTAGGTCATTTCAGTCTCTTATTTCTATAATTCTATGAACCTGCTCTGACAATGTGAGCACTGGAACCCTCAATATTCCTAAAAGCCGAATGGCTGTGAATCAGGAATTTTGATGTCTGGCTGGCGATATTAGCACAAAACTGTCAGAATGAGAAGGGGATCATTTCAACTCCTTAGCAAGATTGAGATAAATCTGGCAGAGCTACTGGATGGAGCATTTGCTAATTAAACTACAATCTCTTAAATTAAAGGATGAAAAAGTGCTAAATAAAGAGAGAAAAATGAATAATACATGTTTAAAAAGATGTTTCTCTATGGGGGTTGGCTGCAGTGTTATTTATGATACCTAAAATTAGAAATATTGTATACTCTAACAATAGAGAAATGATTTTTTGAAACTAAGCTATAGCATGGGATAATCATGCAGCAATTTAAAAGTCTGCATATTATGTTTGATGTAGAAAAAAAATCAAAGACTTAGTTTTAAATCAAAAAGTAAGAAAATCGCAGAACATAATACATAATGTAATGCCATTTTTTAAAAAGTTACTAAATTGTAAATTTGTGCTCTTACATATATCTGTATGTAAACAATACAAGACTCAAAATTATTATCATTGGTTACTCAGAGGAGAAGAATGGGGTTTGAGTAAAAATTAATGGCATTTAGCCACTGTGAATTGCTCATAAATATTATAACAAGAATAGATTTTTATATTACTTTTTAGATAAATGTGTATAAAAATAAAAGAAAAACACTGACACTGCTTAATTTTTCAAAATAAATTTGAGAAGTAGAAGAATATAAGGGAAAGACTTGTTAATCTGGGGAATTGAAACAAACTAGGCACAGGTCTGGGTTTTTCTGAGTCTGAATTTCTTCATCTGTTTTCAGAATAGTTAATAACTAAACCACAAGGTTAATGTGATACCCTATATACAATCACAAGTACGGAGCCTGCTACAGAGTAAAAATGTTCTTAATGGCTACAAAATAATTGTCCTTTCTCCCTTCCCCTTTCACACACTTAAAAAAGAGACAGGTCACTTACCGACTTCTGCTATAGTACTAAGAATGGAAAATTAGTCAAAAGGTGAGTGAAATTTACAGAATTCATAAGAAAACAACAACAAAGCCCGGCCATCGTGCCTCACTATTTGAAAGTATAGCAAAACATATGTTTCAGGACTAATCATTGGGAACAGAGATCTAAAACGGAAGAAAAAATGTTGAACAGATGAACTTTAAAATCCAGACAGAGACAAAATCTGCATTTAGATACATGTGGCTATTTTAAAACATATATATGTCAAGAGAGGAGACAGTAGTTGGGAAGAGAAGGTTACTGAATCACTGGTGTCTGCTTTGGCTTTTCCTTTGCCCTGTAAGGAATCTTGGCTGGAAATTATATGGGAAAATCCAATGAATAAATTGGATATATTCCCTAGTCATTTATCTTCAGCCTGTGGCTCATCAAAGTGGTGCTGTGATGCTGAGACTGCTCCCTGCTCAGGCTGTATTTCATCAGTCTCATTCAAAGAGTGTACTTGCCAAGGAGAGTGTGTAAGAAGCAGGATAGAGAGGAGGTCAATAAACTCATAATCATAGGAGCATCCTGCAATGCCATTGATGAGGCTCTGCACCCCCTGAAAAAGCTTGGGTATTTCCTTTGCTTTATCATTTTATGAATTAGGGCTGAGACTCTGCAGCATATATACTCATGTGGTGATTAAGATCCTTAGAAACATAGGACAAATAACACACCAAGCTCTTGGACAATTTTTATTTCTGGATATATCCTAAGTTGCCTTTTTTTTTTTTTCACCTCTCAGCCATCCTGGCCCTTATTTTTTCTCTCAGAGTAAGGATCTTTCTAAAGGAAGTAAGTGTAAGGAAAAAAAAAAACACCTTTGTATTTCTCCAACTACAAAAGAGATTAGGGAGCTTCCACTTTTGGTCATGATGGCGTAAAGGAGCCAGATTTAACCTCCCATTCTGAAAAACTATAAACTGGATAAAATACATGAAATGATAGTTTAAGACATTGGATAACCAGCAGCGTAGAACAGTGATCACTGAGAAAAGGACCAAGCTAGATGTGCCCTATGATTTCCCCAGCTTACTGGCTGCAGACAGACCTTAAAACAGAGGAGTTAAGAATCTTAACAGAGCTCAGCAATCTCAATGAGTTAAGGAAAAAGACTTCCAAGTTCAAGGAGAGCAGAGCTCTGGAGATATGCAGAGGACTAACATAAGCCGTCTCACATAAGCATGTGGGAAAACTACCACAACCAGAGAAAGAACTAACAGAAAAGTGCAGGTAGAATAATTCAAGGAGCTTACATGGGGCAATAGCAACTGTGGAAGAATCACAGCAGTAAGGGCAAATCAAAACAATGGGCTAAACTGAAAGTCGTGACTCTTGCCTAGGACAATATTCCTAAGAACTAGGTATGACATATTTTACTGAACTTTGGCTTGCTGCCAATGTCCTAGTCCTATGAGTTGCTACTTGGAAGACTGCAGACTCACATATTAAAGATTTCTCTCTTCCAGGCCATAAAACGCAGAAATAAATCACTGCTGCTAATTGAACAGTCTGGATCACTCAGGTAGACACCCACAGTTAGGGCCCATTCTCTGATGACATTGACTGCAATCAAATTACTGATCAAGATAGCACTGCCTGTTCACTGAAAACTCTACCTAGATCTATAATCAAACCAGACATGGTAATCCATCCAACATCACGGAATGGGCACAAAGCTAAAGACTATGTGTTTATGATGCAAATGCTATCCTTGCACATCAAATATTTCATGTGGTGACTCTCACCAATAATTCTCCCATTTGTTTCATGGTGACAGAGGCTATAATGCATGGGGTTTGCCTCTGCTTACTTCTGGCAAATTGACCACATTGGAGTATTTGCCCATTCCTCTGGGCAACGGGGCCTCACTACTATTTCAGTCTGACCAGCTGATTCTGGTAACATATTTTCCCTTGAAACAAAACTATCATGTTTTCAGCTCATCCATAGTCAATGATAATGGTGTACATTTTGTAGCAAAGACTGCTCAACAGTAGGTCAATTGTCACAGCATTTGATGGACACTTCATACCCTTTATTTTCCCCAGGTTGCTGACATCATCATGAGGTGGAATGGACTTCTAAAAATAAACTCAAAAAGGTTTCTGCTCTCTATTGCTCTCACCTTCTCCTCGTCCATACACCTTAGCAAGGCAGTTTAGTAATTAAAAATGGTTGTCCACAACAAAGGTTTACTTATCTTTGTTAATGAAAGAAATGTTGAGTTAGATAAACTATTTAAAAAATCAGGTATTTTGCTATGACCAGTCCTAGGCATGATGTTTCTTCTTCCTCTTGACTTCTACTCTGAGGAAGCTTGCCTTATATGTTTCTGAATGGCCATCTGAATAAAAAAGTGCCTGATAAATTCAAACTTAATTCTAGTTCAGCCACCTGCATTGTCATTTGGGGTGGATGTGGTCTTGGATCATAAAAACAATTACCACTTGCTTGAGTACACTGCTCACTGGGTTTGCCTTTCCTGGCCCCATGCAGGCAAAGGTAGAAATAGATTTCCAAGTTCGCCACTCAGCCTCTGTTGGCATTCAAAGACTAGGCTCTTTGTGAATGCTGGACAGAAATGGGAGTTCCGGCTCCCAGCTAGGCCTTCACTGCTCCATCCGTGGATGGGTTGGAGTACTTCATTACTGCTCCACATTTGGCTTCCACTGACACCATGGATGGGTACCTCATTGGCAATTAGTGGTGGTGGGAGTCCTGGCACGTCATTTGATGTCTCCTGTTTTCATCCCAGCAGGAAGAAGTAGTACCTCTTTATGTGGTCTCCACGTCACCATGGGGCCAGGGGTGGTTGCCATCCCTTCCAGAATGAAATTTTCAGCTCCCTATTCAACCTTCTCTGACACCACCTTGGTGTGGGGAGGGGACTGGGGCCACCCATTATAACCTGATGAGAATAGACATCTATGTTTCCCACTCAGTTTTTCCTGAATAAAAGAAGTATCTCAGTTTTATCTGAGGTGCTTTGCTAGAGTAGAGCAGCTATTATCTAAAAGTTTTTGTCTTGTAATGCTGCCTCTTTTTCTATACTTAAAAGGAGGAATAGGGAAAAACAAAAAACAAAACAAACAAATGAAAAACAAAAAGATGTACTCCATCTTCCCAGAAGTTCTGTTTGGCTCACATTCACAAAAGTTGATTGTTAAAATAAATATTTAAATATCTACTTCCATTAAAAGCCAACTTTTTCAACAAAACTAAGTTGCTAAGAAATTTTGTTGTGAGTAAATTCTACCGGGAGTGGCTATTCCTTAGGCATTTTATAGGTGGGTGTGAATGTATTTGACTCTCCTATCTAGAATTAGGGACCCATTTTGGAAGCATTATAGGCTTTTGCAGATTTTATAGCAGCATTTAGCCCAGAAGAGATTCAAAAGAGGATGAAAGGAAAAAGAACGATCATTCAGAAAAGGGAAACAGACTTCACGGTTAGAATTTTTTGGTACTTAACTCAGAGGAGAAGGGAGGTTCAGCTTCTTTTACAGAAATATGAAGGCATTTATTAAATTCAGTGACCCAATAATATGTGCTTGATTCTACAGAAAAAAAAGTATTAAAATCTTTGCAGAGATTATACAACTCTAGAGTCCTCAAATTGTGAGCATCCCTTAAGAGAGCTTTCAATCCATTTATGTCTTACATTACCATACTTTATAAAAAAATGCTTTTGTGTTTTGTTACTTCCAAACTTTTTAAGTCTCACCTCCGTATGTTTTTTCCCTGATGCCTTATGCTCCAGTCTTTCCATACCCTTCTTAGTGTCCTAAGCCTTCCTGGGACCAGCCAGCTATTATCTCCTCTGACAGAAATGCCCATCCCTTGCCCACCCCAAGCTTTTTTTCTTTGTCCACACCCCACCTCTGTGACTTTATTAAGTCCGTTTTAAATTATTCTAATTTGAGAGTACCACCTATTCACTGTTGCAATCCTGATTAAACTGCCAAATGCCTTATAATTTTAGTATTTCTACTTACTTATCCAATAGCGTGAATGCCAATAACCCAATTCAACAGGTCACATCCCAGGTTGGTAGTCAGCCTTCAACTAACTGCCCTTATGTAGGGGGCTCACTGTAGTCCAACTGTGGATGTGGCTAAGAGGACAGTGATCACATTGTACCAAATAGAACTGCCTGGAGCTGACCCCTTTTTAAGAGAATTTGTAAAGAAGAATATTTTATATAAATAAAATCATATAATATGTGGCCTTTTATATCTGGTTTCTCTCATTCAGCATATTTTCAAGGTTTATTTATCTTGCTTCATGTATTGGGTACTTACTTCTTCCCTTTTTATGGTGGAATGATATTCCTGTGTATAGATATACTACCTTTTGATTACTGATTTGTGAGTTTATAGACATTTGAACTGTTTCAAAATTTGTGTCTATCATGAATAATACTTCCATAAACATTTATGTACAAGTATTTTTGTCATATATTTTCATTTTTGGATATATACAAAGTCATAGGTCACTTAAAGATGAGAATACATTATTAGAAATGTGTCATTAGGAGATTTCATTGTTGAGCAAAGATCATATAATGTACTTACACAAATCCAGATGGTATAGCCAACAACCCACCTAGGCTATAAGTTATAGCTTATTGCTCCTAGGCTGTAAACCTGTACAGCAATTTACTGTATTGCATACTGTAGACAATTATAACACAATGGTAAGTATTTGTGTATCTAAACATGCCTACACATAGAAAAGCTACAGTAAAAATACGGTATTATAATTGTATGGGACCACTGTCATATAGTGGTTCTTTATTGACTAATATGCCATTATGCAGTGCCTGAGTGTATATAAGAATATAATTGCTAGATCACACAATAACTTTATGTTTAACTGTTGGAGGATCAACTAAACTGGTTTTCAAAGCATTTGTGCCACTGTACATTCACACCAACAAAGTGTAAGTGTTCTATTAGGTTGGTGCAGAAGTAATTGCGGTTTGCCATTACTTTCAATGGCAAAAACCGTAAATACATTTGTACCAACCTAATAATTTCACAACATCCTTGCTAACACTTATTATTTTTCATGTTTTAAAACTACAGGCATCGATATGGGAGTGAAGTGGTATCTCATTGTGCTTTTGACTTGCATTTCCATAATGATTAATGATGCTGAGTATATTTTTATGTAATTATCATCCACTTGTATATCTTCTTTGAAGAAATGTCTGTTTAAATCTTTTGCCCATCTTTTCTTGGTGCTTCCTCAGGTGGCTACCAGCCTGCTGGTTTTCCCCGTGAGTGTCAACTCTTAGTTTTCAAGTCTACCATAGAATTGGAAAGGAGTAATGGGAATAGGGAAAATTTACCAAAAAATTTACAGGTTTTACCAAGATTCAACAATCTTTATTAAGTAAATGCTCCCTACATTGCTGCATGTCTTTGGTTAATTTTCAGAATTCTGAAAAAATTTATTCTGTCCATTTTTAACAGTATTCTTATTGCCTCTTTGAAAGGGAGAATTTTCAGAGGTCTGTGTCCTACCATTCCAGAAATACCAGCCTCTATTATAATTTTAAGGAGTATTCTTTTAAACCTTTTTTGTATCTTTCACCTCACAATAGATATATCATCAAACCCTGTTCGTAATTTTCTCAACTTATATCCAGAATACAACTACTTATCATAATTCTCTGCCACCATCTTGGGCTATGCCACTATCATCTTACATCTTGATTGTTACTGAATTCTTCCATAAGGTCTGAATCAACTGTTGTCTTTCTGTAAAACTCAAACAAGCATCTAGGCTGACCTCTTTGAAATGTAAGTCAAAGTATGTCCTTTCTTTGTTTTAAGTACTCTAAGTAGTCTCCTTTCTCACATAGAATAGTATCTAAGTCCTTACAGATGCCTAAAAGTCCCTACATGAACTGATACCTGCCTTCCTTTCTGCTTTCTCACCTCTTTCCTGCTTTCTCATCTTACTTCAACTGCAACGGCCCTTTGTTATTTCTCAAGTATGCTAAGTAGCCTTGCATGACTTCACCTCAGAACCTTTACATTTTCTTTCCTCCTCTGTGCAGAGGTCTTACTCACTTTCAAGTGTCACCTCAATGGGGATAGCTTCCATAATTTTCTTATATAAAACAATAAACCAGACCGGGTGCAGTGGCTCATGTCTGTAATCCCAGCAATTTGGAAGGCCAAGGAAGGTGGATTGCTTGAGCTGAGGAGTTCGAGATCAGCCTGGGCAGCATGGCAAAACCCCATGTCCACAAAAAAATACAAAAATTAGCCTGGCATGGTGGCATATTCCTGTAGTCCCACCTACTCAGGAGGCTGAGGTGGTAGGATCGATTGAGCCTGGGAAGCAGAGGCTGCAGTGAGCCAAGATCACACCACTGCGCTCCAGCCCAGGTGACAGAGTGAGACCCCCATCTCAATAATAATAATAATAATAAATAAAAACATAATAAACCTTCTGCTCCATAGGTAGTTTCTTCCCTGTGTTACTAACCTGTGTTATTCTCTGTAGCACTTACCACCTAACATATTTTTTAAATTTATTTAGATTATTTCTACTTTTATTTCCTATCTACTAAAATGTAAGTGATATGAGTACCAGGGCTTCTACCTTTTATTTCTCACATTATCTCCAGTTCTTAAATCAGTGCCTGGTATAATGAGTGTGTTACAAATATTTGCTAAAATAAATGAATGAACCAGAGATGTGCAACACAAATTAAGAGCAAGAGAATTAAGTTTGCAAAAACATTAATAATTTTCTATTTCTGAAATGAAAGAACAAAATCTCTTGATACATTTTATAATGCCCATCATAAACTAATTTATTTGAGTTGCTCTGCCTCTGTGGATTAATTGCAAATGTGTTCTCACTTAATAGAATCCAGATCAATAGAAGTGACAGCGATTAATTCAGGGTGATTTTTCCCCCCTCCTAGTTCAGAATCCAAATACCAGAGGAAGCAAAGAAAGCCCGCCCAGTTGTTTCTCTTCACAAACACAAAATTGTGGAGCACATCTTGGCTCGACCCAGCTTCTGCCTGAATGCTCTCCATCTGTTTGGTACCATGTGGCACACTAGCATATGCCAAGCAATCAGTCACTCTGCTGTATGCGAAGGGAGACTATGAAAAGATTAATACAATTCCTTTAACTCTGATGAGGAACACAACGGCTCAGTGGCCTCACACATGCATTCTGGAAATTACTGTGCTACAGAAAACTGTTAAACTCATTTCTGGGCTGAGTAAAATATTAAAAAACAATTTGACAGAGCAAGTGCATTGAACAATGTTCATGACAATCCCCTCTAGTCCTCATTTTCTTGCCCAGGTTGACAAGACGCATTGAAAAAAATGTACACAGCAGCCTCAGAAAAAGACGTGTCTTCTGTGTTAGAACACCCAGGCAAGGGACTCTCTGTTAGGCATGAGATGGGAGCAATACAGCCATTCACCCTAGATAGCAACATTGCCACTGATTTTCTGTCCCAAAGATCTCCTCAAGTTTCGAGGAAGCTGAAAAGAGGACTGCAGGGTAACTTCAAGCTTGGTAGAAAGGCAATTTTAACCTGGTTTTCCTAGACACCAGCTTGGAATTTAATAATTGATCCTAAAGCATGGCAGGAACTTCCCATTCAGTTCAAGCTTCTCTCATAATTATCTTCTCTTAACTTTTTTTAACATCTCAAGAAACAGATAACATTTACATTCACCAAAAGTGGAGTCCCTGAGTTGCAATTTCTTTATCACTTCTTCCTTATTAAACATGCAATATATATTCTTTGGTAGATAACTTGGAAAATATAAATGAAGAATACACCTAAATTCCTATAATCCAGCAAAAGACTATTAAAATTTAAGTGTGTAATATTCTTGAAATTTATATTTTGAAAATTGTGTGTGTGTGTGTGTATACATAGTAGACATACAGATGTTTCTCAACTTACAATGGGGTTATGTCCAGGAAAACTCATCATCAGTTGAAAATATTCTAAGTCTAAAATTCATTTAATATACCTAACTTATCAAACATTATATCTTAGCCTAACCTACCTTAAACGTGCTAAGAACACTTACATTAGCCTACAGTTGGGCAAAATTATCTAACACAAAGCCACTTTCATAATAAAATATGAATATCTAACATAATTCATTGAATACTGTATACTATATTGAAACTGCAAATTGGAAACTGTATGTATACAGCATAGTTATTCATAGTTACATATGTTGAAGGACATATATATGTTTTATATATATGTATATATATATACACATATGTGTGTGTGTGTGTGTGTGTGTGTGTGTGTGTATATATATATATACAGAAAACTCAGGAATGCACAAATGATGTTTTACTTACTAATTTACCAGTTCTGCAATATGCCAAGGAAATTATATTCCCAGAGGACAATAAGAGACAAAGAAATTCTGATTACTAGCTGGAATTTTGACCTCGAACTTTCGTGTGGTAGCCTGCTGAACTAAGTAAGTGTGTACCAGGAAGAGCACCTCTTGCTCAGGTTACATAAGCCAAAATGGTCTTATTTTCTGTAACAGCCATTCTTATCTCACCTTTCCTAACTAAGAAAGGATGGTCTATGAGATGAGGACAACACTTCTTTCCAAGCAGGAAAAGACTACAAGCATTGTATTTTCACCACTTGTACTTGTACAACAAAAATTAGAGGGGTTCATGGTTTTCCACCGTACCACAACTCCTTCCAAAAATGACGCTAACATGATAATAAAATACATTTTTAATGACATAAAATTTAAAAAATACAGAGAATGTGAAATAAAATAGAAGAAAACATTTTAGAGATGGGGCCTTATTCTGTTGGCCAGGCTGGAGTGCAGTGACACAATTGTAGCTCACTGCAACCTCACACTCCTGGGCTCAAGCAATCCTTCTGCCTCAGCCTCCCTAGTAGCTAGAACCTCAGGAATGCGCTACCATATCTGGATATTTTTCGTGTGTGTACTTTTTGTAGAAACAGGCTCTTACTATGTTGCCCAGGCTGATCACTCTCTGTGATCATGAGTGTGACATGAACAAACATGAATGTCAAATATGCAAAAACTAATTCATATTTGAACTGCAGATAATTATAAGATACATATTCACTGTCAATCTCAAACTCGACTGCTCATTAAAACTACTTGGGGTACATTGTAAAATCCTAGGATGGACCCTAGAACAACCACTGGTGTTGAGGCCCAGGCAACAGTAGTTCAAAAGCCTCTCCATGCAAAACGAATCTGCAGACAAGTTTGACTAATGGTGGTTTAGAATAGTGGTTCACAAACAGCAGCCCCAAACTAGCAGTATCAGTCTCATCTAGGTACTTTTGTTTTGTTTTGTTTTGTTTTTTTGAGACAGGGTCTCTCTTTGTCCCCCAGGCTGGAGTGCAATGGCATAATCTCGGCTCAATGCAACCTCTGCCCCCCAGGTTCAAGTGACTCTCCTCCCAAGTAGCTGGGACTACAGGAGCGTGCCACCAAGCCCAGCTAATTTTTGTATTTTTAGTAGAGACAGGGTTTTACCATGTTGGCCAGAGTGGTCTCGAACTCCTGACCTCATGTGATCTGCCTGCCTCAGCCTCCCAAAATGCTGGGATTACAACTGTAAGCCACTGAGCCCTGCCTAGGCACTTTTAATAAATGTACAATCTCAACATCTAACTCAGTTGTACAGAAGGAGAAATTCTGGGGGTAGGTACCAGCAATCTGAGTTTTAGAAAGCATTATGGATGATTCTAAAGCATGCTGTAGTTTGAGAACCTCTGCCCTAGGACCTTATCACATAAAGTGTAGTCCACAGACCCACAATTAGGGTTACTGTTGTCCCAGTTTACCAAGAACATTCCTGGGTTAGCACTGAAGTCTCATATCCTCAGCAAACCAGAATGGTTGGCCACCCTACTCTCAGCAATATCATCAGTTGGATGCTTGTTATAAATGAAAAATGTCAGGCCCTGCTCCCAACATTCTAGATCAGAATCTGCATTTTAACAAGATCACCAGATGATTTGCATGCACTTTATGGATTGAGAATCACTGCTTTTGGACAATGGTAGTGAATCTCCAGCCTGCTGCACAATAGAATCACCTAGAAGTCTTTTAAAAAATGGTGGTCCCCAGGCTTTTACCCAAGACTGAACCATAGTCTCTGGGCATGGGAACCCCAGGCATCTGTGTGAATCCAAGTTTGAGAACAACTGCACATTCCAAATGTCATGAAGCAAGAATGAAGTCAATCTTACATAAACTCGTAAACTTCTAGACATATACAGTCCAAAAAAAAAAATATGTTGGAAGTATGTTTTGAGTGTCTATTCAGATAGTAGATACTGTGTTAGGATCCTATGGACACAAAGATGAGTAAGACATAGACCTTTATATGAAGTAATCATAATCTAGTGACAGCATCTCCTTCCTAATCTCTATACTTCATGCATAGAAAAAAAATACTGTTAACAATATAAGTTATTTTAGTGTTTCCCATTTGCTTTCTTTTTTACTGTCTTTCAGCCTTTGCCCTCAAGGTTGGAGAAATTAAGATGTTTTTGATTCAGGTTTCAACAAATCATCACTCTTCTATGAATACGCAACTAAGAAACTTCAACAAAAATTATAGTGAAAAATAAACATTGGTGTCCCAACTAAGGCAGGTATTTAAAGATTCCCTATGTTTTAGACTGAAATGAATCTTGAACTATAATATGTTTTTGTTTTTTAGTTATAAATTTTTGGGCTTCACCTACCCTCAGTAGAACACTTTAGAAAACATTTTTTTGCAGGTATTTTTGAGAATTAAATATATAACCAAGAAATCTTCATGACATATATTAAGCATTAACTGTAAGTTATCTCTCTTTTGAGCACTTCATTAAAATAACATATACAGAATAGAAATTTGCAATCACCCAGCTTAAACAAACTTGAGTATTCCCTTTGCTGGCTAATCTATCAGAGACTGACATGGCCATACATTGTGTATTCAAGTGTGTTACTGAAATGACTCAGTGGCAGAAAGCTTTAGTTCATTAGATAAAAATCAGACTTGGTCTCGCCTTGTAATGAAATCTTCTTACATGCATTTAAGAAAGAATACTGAGTATAATTCTTTGTGGTTGAAATCACTGCATCTATTATTTTCTCCCAAGATACATACATTCTTTAAATTGAACGTGCCACAATCACATTTTACCTTGCTGACACAACTTTTTGAGTGCTAACAATGCTCCTAGATCAATTAAGGAGGACATGAGATAACATCTTCTCCTCAGACAATGGGAACCAGTTTTTTAAAATTTTTTTAATTGTACTTTAAGTTCTAGGGTACATGTGCACAATGTGCAGGTGTGTTACATATGTATACATGTGCCATGTTGGTGTGCTGCACCCATTAATTCGTCATTTACATTAGGTGTATCTCCTAATGCTATCCCCCGCCCCCCAACCACCCCACAACAAGCCCTGGTGTGTGATGTTCCCCATCCTGTGTCCAAGTGTTCTCCTTGTTCAATTCCCACCTATGAGTGAGAACATGCGGTGTTTGGTTTTCTATCCTTGTGATAGTTTGCTCAGAATGATGGTTTCCAGGTTCATCCATGTCCCTACAAAGTACATGAACTCATCCTTTTTTTATGGCTGCATAGTATTCCATGGTGTATATGTGCCACATTTTCTTAATCCAGCCTATCATTGATGGACATTTGGGTTGGTTCCAAGTCTTTGCTATTGTGAGTAGTGCTGCAATAAACATATGTGTGCAAGTGTCTGAATGAGTTTTTAATAATATAGCATCCATGATTTCTTACCCAAAACTCCAAGAACACAGATCTGCTTGATCATTGGCTAGAATTGAAAGAGTATCCTGAGATGGGAGGTCAAGATGTGGAGCAAAGCTTTGTCTATTCAGGTAGCGAGTTCTAAATCTTGGTTTCTGCAGGTTAGGGTGCCAATTTTTTTAGTTATTACTATTTCAGCAACTATGTGTAACTGACCAGGTATTTATCAATTACCCATATCTAGTATATATTCCATCAAAAAGTGATGGTGCAGGCAGTTTGCTTTTGCATTAATGTAATGACTATCCTTATTATTGGTAATACTGTCTTGTCACAAGTGACAAAATCTGGGGCTCAAGTGAAATTCTAAGATATCGCCTTGGAAAGTTTTAAGTATGTGAGACATAGAGCAGTCTGGATGCTTGAACCACTATGACTAGTTCTCATCTGCTTCAGGACTTCAGAAACCAACCTTACACTAGTTTTATTGGTCATTGGGATTCCATTTTCTTGCTTGTCTCTTTTCAAGCATCACTAAAATGTATGCTCTAACTTGGTCAATGGGTCTTCTTACTTTGTGCTTTTAAATATGCAATTGGAAATCACTTTAAATTCGAGTTACCTAAAAATTAATTGCTTTTTATATGATGTTGAAAAAATTTAGCCACATTTTTTCATTACTCTATTAACTATTGTTTTCTGTTCAGAAGCAAATAATTATCCATGACTATATGTCATGGATATTCTAATGACTTAGACAAAGAGGTTTGTTTTCTTTCATAGATCTTTGTTTTAGACAATAGCTTTGAAATCTGAAATGACATTGTATTCCAGGGTATACAGCCAAAGCCTTCCACTTTTCAAAGAGATATTGTTCCTGTATATCATGAAAGGAAATCAATCTCTCAAAAAACTAATGGAGTCTGAAGAGCTATTGGGATTTCCTCAGTCTTCATTGTATTACCAGCTTGCCAGTTTTCTAGAATACCCCAGTCTCACAACAGTATCACGCCTGTTTTGTATGAGTTCATTAATACTTTATGGAAGATAAGGCTGTTTCTCAGATATTTGGGACTGTTCACATACTCTAAGATTCTGAGTTTGAGAATGCCATTTGAGATGGGCACTCACTAAATGACAGCTTAAAGGTGTACTACATCTATGGCTCCTGTGTTCCTGTTCTCATAATGGCTACTGGGATATTTGGCTAATAAGTTGCATGCTAGAAGAATGTAATGAATTTCAAAATTTCTCATATACTGGACATTTCTTGAAATAAAGGCAGCCATTAAGTTCTGATAAGACAAATAGGTCAAATACAAGGCCAAATTAGACTCAAATTCAATACCAAAATCCTTTCTCACATACTCTAGTTATACCTTATTAGAATATATTAGTTTTAGGAAATTTAAATCTGATGCCTTAAGCATATTCTACCCAAATTTTCTCAGGGTTGTTTTATTTGTATTGCAACTTCGGCATTATTCATTTTAGGTATCCAAAAGGATGGATCAGAGTAATTCACAGCATTAGACTTGCATGCTAAATAAGTTTATGCATTTTTCTCACACAAAAACTGTCTTGGCTACAAATCTGAGCTCTAAAGATTCTTTCATTGAGTATATGACTCTTTTAAAATATATAACTCAAGATGCAATTTTATAAAATGTTTTAACTACCTTATACAAATAATACTTTAAAGTGCTGGAAAGTCTTCAGTTTGAATAAAGGCAGTGAGGACCAGTATAAAAAAAATAAGTTGTGGAGAAAATTAAGAGAAGAATAAAAATAAAGAAAAAGCTATATTATAAGAATCGTTTAAAAAATGACTCCTAAATGTTTATGTTCCCTGAATTTTGGAGTAATTATAAATTGAAAATGATAATATAAAAGCTTGTTAAAATAAGGTATGAGATCTGATGTCTCCCTTGTTTTCTCATCTTATAAGAAAAACAAAGAAACCAAGAAACAAAAATCAAACAGTATTGCCTTTTCTTTCTGTAATTACAAGAAGTCAAGAGAACTGGCTAAAATGCACATCCTCTTACAATTTCTTTCTTATGTGCCAGGCCAAACTCCTGAGGGTACTTGTTGAATTTCAGTCTGGTTCACTGCACCTTAGCACCTTAGAGTACTTCCACTGTCACTTTGCGGAAAGATTGCTGGATGGTTGAAACATGGTGATTTAGGACATGAAGGCTGCTGCCCAGGTGACCTGGGTTTAAATGCAAGAAGTTACTCAACCTCCCTATGCTCCACTTAAAAAAGAATCTGTAAAATAAAAGGTAATAGTAACAATATCCACCTCACAGTGTTGTTGTGACAATTAACGAAGCTAATAACTTTTAGAAAGGTTGAAACAATGCCGAGAATATAGTAATCATTATCTCTATTAGCTATAGTTCAAGGGCTGTAGCCCAAGTAAAGGTAAGCCATTTTCTGGTGATGCAGAGTGAGCTGGCCTTGAAGGCCAATAAAATATATGTGAGTACACCCTGCACACTGAAGGATCAGGTAAAGAGATCAAAAGAATTGCCAGACCACACTCATAGGTTATCTGATTTTTGGAATGGACTCTAAGCCTAGGGCTGGATTGCTTCTAGAGATGTCTGCCAGTAACATACTTATGTGAGCCCTTTTATTTTCCAGGAACATACAAACATCAGGCTAGGCTTTCCATACAACAGAAGATCTTCATCTAACTAAGCCAAGGTGATGCTCTTGTAGGTCTGCATAAGTCCTAAGAAATGACTGTCTGTTTTCCTACTGTCTGTGTGATTGATTACACTGGAAAATAGAACAGGTCTCCAGTAAGTAATTACCAAACATATGAGTGACATTTGATGTATATGGGTTTATTTGTTTGTTGTGCTTAAAGTCAACATCCAGAGTATAAATATGAACTAAATTGTGTGCCATATTGTGAGAAAACTCAAATGAGAATGTTAATTTATAAGGAAGAAACCATAAATGTTACTATTAATTTTTTTGAAAAACAAAGCATAGTATTATTAAAATAAGTCATATCTCCTAGTACATTTAAAACGTTTTTCAACATTCAGCAACTCTTGGCCATAGTAGTGCCAATAAATGTGTGTTGAATTGAATGTTTGATCAAGAGACACTAAACATGGATGGAATACTGTATTGGGATTCAAACCATCTTTTCCTTGAACAAATAATACACAAATAATTTCCTCTCAGTTCAATTTCTGTGAACATTTATTTGAACCACAACAACACTAAAATTACTTTCAGTTAGAATGTTACTAATTTTATTGACAATTTTCAATTAAAATATGTGAATTTAAAAAATTTAAAAATATGTTACCAATATCCTTTGTATTAACTAATGTGGTTCATAAATTACTTACTGCTGCATGCTGTTTAAAAAGAGGAGGAGTAGAAATAAACCACTTAGAAGCAAAGTTTAAACTTTTACTTCCTCTGTTTCTTGTTAACAATTATTATTTTATTTAAATGTTATTAAAAGAAACAGTTTTTCTGAGATACTTGGCTTTTTAATTATACATATATATACATGTATATGTATATAATCTCCAGAGAATGTAACCTTTAACCATGAGAACTATGAAGACTCTAGAGTTTTCTTTTTAATACGAAATTCAATTAGTCCATTTTACTGTAGCATGGCTTTTGACTTCACTCTCCAGCAATATGGATGCTGTCTGAATTCTGTTTTCATATCTACAGCAGGATGGCAATTTTGTTTGCAAAACTTTTAGTTTAATTTTCATATCTAGCCAACTTTAATTCATGCAGTTATTCAGGTCTGAGATTGCACATTTCTCAAATCTCACTTTCTGGCCTGCTCTCACCCTAAACAGGTGCAGTTCGGGAGAAATAACAGACTTTACTATGCACTGTTAATATAATCCCTTTTAGTTCCCCATCTCTCCTCTGAACTACGATTTTTGCAGCTCCCAAGATGTCATTCCTCACCACAACTTCCTCCCTAAATCCATGCTGGCTTGTTGTTTTCTGAGTATCTCTCTCTCCTGATGAGAAACCAATATTGAAGAAAGAAGAATGTTGAAGGAAGAAACCAATGTTGAGAAAGAACTAAAATGGATGAAGAAAAATTAGTACACACAGGGAAGAGCAGTAGCTCATTTTCAAGGTTGACATAAATTTACTTTTCAGCCCAGTATTACAAATAATTTGTTTTAAATAAAACGTTATGTCTACCTATCTAGAGAAGTTTAAGGAGTGGTCAGCTACCACTTTTGCTTTTTTTTTTTTTTTTTTTTTTTTTGACTTGGCTGAGAAGAGACTACACAAATTGTATTTTTAAAATATGATTCCTCTCAAATTGCAATTACTAAAAACTTCTAATTTTGACCACAGGTTGACCTTTCCTTCTTGCTTTTATTTTCTCTGTTTTCCAGTATATTTTACTAAGAATATGGAAGAAAATAGCAGGTCAACAATTTGCGGGGGCAATATAATTTTTTAAAAGTTTGATTGAGATATAATTCACATACCATAAAATCCATCCATTTAAAGTGAACAATTCTATGACTTTTAGTATGTTCACAGAGTTGTGCAACCATCACCACAATCAATTTTAGGATATTTAAATCAACATTATAAAGAAGTCCTGCATTCAGTAGCAATCATTCACCATTTCTCCTACAACTTCCCAGCCCAAGGCAACTACTCATATATATTGTCTCTATAGATTTGCTTATTCTGGATATTTCATACAAAGGAATCACACAATATCATCTTTTTAAATTGGCTTCTTTCACCTGGCATAATATTTTCAAGGTTCATCCAAGTGTTAGCATGTATCAGCACTTCATTCCTTTTTAGGACCAAGTGATACTCCACTATATTTATATAACACACTTTGCTTATCCATAAATCAGTTACTGAACATTTGCCTTGGTTCCATTGTTTGGCTATTGTAAGTAATGCCGTTCTAAATATTTGTGTACAAGTTTTGTGTGGATGTGTGTTTATTTCACTTTCATTTATCTTGGGTATATGAGTATGTCTAGGAGTAGAATTGCTGGGTACTATGGTAACTTTATGTGTAATGTTTTGAGGAAATGTCAAAATATTTTCCAAACTGACTGCATCACTTTACATTCGAACCAACAACATTTGAGGGTCCCAAGTTTTGAACATTCTGGCCAATACTTTTCATTATCTATTATATTAAAGCTACCCTGGTAGGTCTGAAGTAGTAGCTCACTGAGGCCTTGATTTGCATTTCTCTAATGGGTAATTTCTCTAATGATATGGAGCATCAATTCATGTGCTTACTGGCTATTTATAGATCTTTGGAAAAATATGTATTCAGATCATTTGCACATTTTTATATGCAAATGTATATATATGCAATGTATATATATGCAAATGTATATGCACATTGTGTTATATAAATGCACAATTGGGTCATTTATATTTTTGTTACTGAGTTGTAAGGATTCTTTATGTATTCTGGGTACAACTTCTTTATCAGACATATGATTTGTAAATATCTATTCTATATCCGTGTTGTCTTTCTTATTGGTAGACTTTGCAGTGCAAAGTTTTTAATTTTAATGTATACATTTTTTCTATTTATTTTTCTTTCATCACTTATACTTTTAGAATCACCCAAAGCCTCCTACGTTACTCTGTAGGAACCCTTCTGATTACAGTGAACTCATACAGATAAGCTAGAATAACTTTTCCATCTGAATACCTCTAATTTAATGACATCATCAAAGTTTACTTGCCATTTAAGGTCACATATTTACAGTTTCTGGGAAATATGGCCTGAACATCTGTAGGAGTAATTATACTGTAACCTCAATGCTTAAATAATTATTTCATACTTTTTTTTCGCTGTTGTTGTTATACCTATTATATCTTTATATATTACAAACACAACAATTTATTGTTACAATTATTAATTTAGATTATTTTAAGTTTTTAAAAAGCTGGAAGAAGAAAGGAGACTAAGCATATATTTATAAGGTTTGTTGTATTTACATTTTTATTTACTATTATTTAATATCTTCATTGCTTCCTGTGGATTCATATTGTGACCTGAATTTTTTTATACTGTAATACACCTCTGACCTCATTCACCATACTTGTGTTGTTACTACCAAATATATTACATTGTTACATGTAATAGGCCCAACAATACAATTAAATATATATTGTGTTATGCAATTGCTCTTTAAATAGGTGAGAGGAGAAAGAAGTATGCAATTATACTCTCTTTTATACATCCCTACATAATTACCTTTACAGATTCTTTTTGTCATGTGTACATTCAAATTACTGTCTGGCATCAGTTGATTTCAATGTAAAGAATTTCCCCTGCTATTTCTTATAATGCACATTTGTCAGAAAAAATACCTCTTGGTTTTTGTTGATCATTTCTTGAAGACAGTATTGCCAGATTTAAAAATTTGGCTGATTTTTTTCCCTAGTACTTTGACTATTTCATCCAATTGACCTCTGGACTCCACTGTTTCTGATGATAAGAGAGTGGTTAATATCACTGGGCTTTTTTAAATGTGAAAAGTACATTTTTTTCTGGCTACTTTTAATATTTTCTTAATATATTTGTTTTTTGATGGTTTTACTATGATGTGTCTGTGTGTAGATCTCTTTGCATTTATTCTATTTAGAATCCACTGAGTTTCTTGGATGTGTAATTTAATATTTTAATATAATTTGGAAAGTGTTTGGACACTATTTCTTCATGTACTTTTTCTGCTCATTTGTCTTTCTCCTCTCTCTGATAATCTCAGTAGCTATATGTTGGTGTGCTTAATGTTGTCCCACATTTCTCTGAAGCTTTTTGAAAATTTTTCTTCTTTATTTTTCTTCTCTGCTTTTCACATTTGGGTGCAGATATTGATCTACCTTCAAGTTTGCTAATGCTTTCTTCTGTGAGCTTAAATCTACTGCTTAGCTTTTCTAGTAAAATTTGTTTACTCATTTTACAACTTCAGAATTTCAATTTTTTATATTTCTATATCTTTATTGGCAGTTCTTTTTTTTATCTGATGACATAATACCACCAAACCTTTCATCACGGTTTCCTTTCATTTTTTTGGCAAATATTTATCATAGGTGCTCTGATTTTTTTTCTGCTAAGTCTAACATCCTGGCCCTGTCAAATACAATGCCTGTTAATTAGTTATTCTTTCCTGGGTATCAAAATACATTTATGTTTCTTTGTATATCTCATATTTGCTTTTATGTTAACTGCACAATTTAGGTAACATATTCCAGCAACAATGGTGTTGGAGGCACCAACAGAAGATTGGAAGCCTGGGGGAATGAATGACAGTCAGATTTTTTTTTTCCTGCTAGCCCCACTACCTGCCTATTCTATATTTTTCGGTATAATTTTGTCTTTTTGTAACTATAGCTCCTACCAGATTACACTCTTTCCTAACGTCAGTGCTCACATGGCTCTGGTAACTCTTTCCTCCCCTTCACTCAATGGAGCTTTTTCTTACCGCTGCTGGTTTCTAGGGCCTCATCATGTCTTGCTGGTTCCCTTACCTTTGTCAACTATAAAGTCTCATTTCAAAATATCAGCTAAGTATGGATTATATTTCCTAATGGATCCATGACTTGTTAGCTTGGTGAGAATCTTAGCTTCCAGCTTAGCACATGTAACTACAGATCAGATATTTAGTCTCCTATTTTTGAAAGTTCTCTGATAGTGCACATTTATTGTCTATTCATAGATTTTAGGCCACTTTTTAGGACCCAGAATCTGTCATTATTCCTATTTATTAGCTATAGATATTGGCCCAGGCATGTATTTATCAAATATATATTTATCAAAGAAAATATATATTTATCAAAGTGTATTGAATAACTCAGGAAATTTCAGGAAGGCTAGGGAATCATGCCTGGAAAATTGGGCAGGAACAAAGTAGGACAGTCATCAGATAGGACCACAGTCAAACTCAGTAACATTAGTCCAATGAAGAGACTGCTACAGTTTCCACAGAACATAAGCAACCTGTTTAAATTGCCGCTAGCAATACTGAACACTGGACACTGTGCTATGCCGCCTCTGGGATTTGTCCCTGCAACTAATGCTGCACACTGGCAGAATGGGTTCTTTGCTCTTGTCTCCCAATTTCAAGCCCAGAGTTGGTGAATCAGTTTAAGAAAACCAGTATTTCATGTCATGCCCTGAGAAAACTGGTATCTGGCATTTTCAGCTTGCATGGTAGAAAGCAGTCTGTATCTCCACTGACGCTCCAAGTAAGAAATTGTCCATCCATAAAATGGGAACTGGATGCTTGTCATAGAGGACATGATAAGTGACCACCACCATATACCTATTTGTCTGCCAAGCATTTGTTATTTTTGGCTCTCTAGTATACAAAACCTTTTCACATAGTTCCACTTCAAAAATGAAAATGAAATAAAGCAACCCTGTCCTAATGTAATACACTATGCTTTATGAAACCAAAATGCATTCTCACCTTCTGCAAAGAAGAGCAACTCAAAATTTCATCAGTTACTACATTTAGCTAGAACACCAGGATCTCTAGAGAAATGTTTATTACTTCTTCTGACCTCAATACATCTTCATAGATACACACACACACACACACACACACACACACACACACACACTTCAGTTACTTGTTTCTTTTATTTTTGTGTAAAATATTTTCCCTGCTTAATTGAAATACCATTAACAAATAAAAATTCTATATATTGAAAGTATACAACATAATGTTTTGATAAACATATACACTGCAAAATGATTGCCAAAATCATGTCTTTATATTTTTTAACCATAGAATTATTACCAAGCATGTGCTATAGAAAACAGTAGAAGAAATGAAACTGAAAGAAAATGAAAGAGGAATGAAAATACAGAACTTCGTTTCTCCTCTATTTGGGGTTGTTTACCTACTAAAGAGGTTAAGTAACTAAAATCTTTTTTCAGACATAGAAATTGTGCTCCATGTGCCTAATACCCAAGTCTATGGATTACTTTCTATGCTTTAAATGAAGAAATTTTTGTCATCTCCATATCCTGTAGTCCAAGGTGCTGTTGAATCTAGTTTCAGTTAACTAACTAAATTAAACTCACAAAAGCCCCAGGCTGCTTAATGTGTCATACCAATCTATAATCTTTGAAAAACTTGATAAACTTTGGGATGGGGGAAGGTAGATGGAAGTAGGTTTTTCCTGCTGTTCACTGAAGTCTTGGGAGTGCATTGATAAAAGAGAGGTTAAAACTGTCCAAAGAGTGTACAAGGTCAAATCAAAATGCACGGTGGACATTATTCTCATTTGGCACTTAAAATAACAGAAGTGGGTTTTCTGAAGAAAAAAAAAACATGAATAAACTAAAAATGATTATCAGCTTGCATTATTTATGCTTAAGATCAATTACAAAAGCTACCTACATTTACAATTGCTTTTTGAAAAGTGGATATTTTCAAGTGCTCATGTTATGATCAATTTCAGCAGTACGTATTGCTCTGAATAATGTAGTTTCTTTTAAAGACATGACATACAGCTATGGCTTTCTTTTTCTTTCTTAGGCCAATGATAAGCATCAAGTAGAATGTCTTTCTTCATAGTAAGCAATTCACTATGTGTTGACAACATTTCATCAGCATATTTCTAGACATCTCACTAAATTCAAGCTTCTTACCAAGATTTATGATGTTCTTACTTTTTGTCAATCATTTCCCCAGTGGCGTGAAGTCAGAAACAGCAGAATTTTGCAATTCATAGACTACTGCAGCCTCATTATCAGCAGAAACTCCTTGACCCATAATCTTCAAATCATGCAGCATTGCATGATTCTTAAATACCTTAATCTACCCTAACTCAGTCTACTTCTCAGCTCCTTCGCTAAGTCACCATACTCCTTTATCGTGGCCTTATTCAGGTCTTTAAATATGTTTGGCACTTTCTGCTGTACCAATATGATGTTCAGGGTCAGCCAACACTGATTGTGGTTCACATGCACTGGGCATGTTAATTCTCTGATTTTTTTTTCAAAATTAATATGCCATATATAGGTAACATATTGAAATTTTCCAGAACCAGTGAGGCAGGACAATAGGGTCTGGAGTCAGGGAACCTAACACTGAGCTGACCTCCTAGAACTGAATCAGAAGGAAAACCCCACCTCTCCACATCCAAGTAACAAAAGGATCAGACGCTACTCCCTTGCCCAAATAAAAAATGGAAAGTATCTCTGATTGGTCCCCTCCCCCAACCAGTCTTCATGTATAATTTTGTAACTTTACTTCAGCCTCTGATTGGCCCCCTCCCACAACCAATCAGACTGGTCATGGCCCACTGCTTCATTTATATAGGGTGTAACCAATTAACCAATGGGAAACCTCTAGAGGGTATTTAAACCCCAGAAATTTCTGTAACCAGAGTTCTTGAGCCGCTTGCTCTAACCTACTCCCACTCTGTGGAGTGTACTTTCATTTCATTACATCTGTGCTTTTGTTGCTTCATTCTTTCACTGCTTTGTTTGTGTACTTTTTCCAATTCTTTGTTCAAAATGCCAAGAACCTGGACGACTCGTAGTCAAGACCCTCCACTGGTAAAACTAGCAATAGCTGTCTTTCATAATTGTTATTTATTTTCCCATGCTGAGAAACAACTCACTTAAACAGTTATTGGGAATATGTGTATGGCCATGATCATGTATTTTAAGTAGTCACCTCTGTTAAAATGCTTTATTACCTCAAATGTTTTTTCTAATATATAATTTTGGTGCCTCTTAGGCTCACCTATTTTCTTCACAGCATTTCTACTTCGTTAGACTTTTTAAACTTACTCATGTAGGAATAAATGATAGCAAAAAATACACATCATATTTTTAAATGCAAGTACAAGACAAAAATTTATTGAGGAAATCACTGAGGTAAAACTACAACATACTCTGCATATTTTCACATTAATATCCATGCAATTTAAATGTTTTCACTGAAACTTGCTTGTAGGTTTGTTATACCAGGTTTTCAATTTGGATAGTAAGAATTGGCTAATTTCATTGAAAGGTATTATAACATCTATTCAGATGATTAGAGTTCACGTAGCATGGAATACATTCGTTTAGCCATTGCATGCTAGGGATTAACAGAATTATTTCCCCAAATGTTAGTTGTGTTTTTCACATCAACTCTGTCCAGAAAATCCATCTCAGATTGTCTGCATTTTCTTGAGCTTCTGTGATCACTTCTTGTGCCAGTTAGATTCTTTGTTTTGTGTAACAGGAGCAAACTTGTTAATTTAAACAGAATATTTATGTAGAGGGCAGCAAGCAGTACACAAAAGAGTCAGGAAGATTGAAGAATCAGGTTGGAAAAATGGCCAAGAAGAGGAAAAGCCAGGTTGCAGTTAGCAGCAGACTGGCTGCCACATCAAATATCAGCTCTGTGAGAACTGTCTGGCTGCTGCTGCTGCTGCACAGCACATATGCCAGCTTGCACTTCTGTCACTGTCAGCACCAAATACTGTATTCTCCCTGTGCACTGCACTGCTTCTACTATTGCTGCTCCTATTCCTGGGGCCTTGATGATGTTGCCACTATTGCTAAAATTGGTGTTCTATGGTTTTTGCCCTAAATTCCAATTCAAAGTCTAAGGTGGGAAAAACTGACTTGAAAAACTAGATCACATGCTCTCAATCTAGCTGCAAGAGAGGCTGAAAATCTCACAGTTCTCTAGGAAGAGATGGACTTTTTCTTTTTGATACTCAGAGTCAGAGTAACCCACACGTGGGAAGAATTATCAGATAGCCATCTGACATCAACTCACCTCTATTGCACATCTTATGAATTTTCCATGGTTTCAATGAGTTGAAGGTATTGACTTGTCAGCAAAATAGACAATCAGAAACCCTAAATATAAGTTGATGGATCAATGGAATTCATTAACATAGAGACAATGGATAATGGGCATAAAAACATTATTGTTGGTTTTAATTTGTGATTGAAACTACAAATCCAATATTATTATGAATGTGCTGTAAGTTTTTCTTTTATTGTGGAGTTAGAACTTCAAGAATTTACCCGTTATGAATGAATCTGAATAAGCATTTATGAAATGACTGACCTGGGTTAAATATGTACACTGTGGACATGAAAACGTGTGAAAATAATGAGCCCGTAGGAGACATGAGGTCTTGACCTGAGATTAATCAAGCTCTCACCTGCTGAGTTAGCCATCTGTATACGTAATCTTATTCTTCTTTTCTAACAAGCTTACATGAAACATATACTGAAAAGAATGATAAATTTTCAGGCTGATGCTAGATTTTGTCAAAAGACTTAGACCAAGTTTATATTTCTTAGCTCTATTGTTCTGCTATCTCAAACCCTTTATCTCCTCTCCTGTCTGAAAAACTGGCATTTTTGAAATCTCTTCACTGAGAAGACGGCAAGTAAAAATGGCAGAGGGGCTTGAAGTATGGCTATTGTTTACATGTAATATAAAAATAATCCAGTGTTTTAGAGCACATTCCCCAAATAAACATTTTTTCTTTTGGTAACTCTACTGTGCTCTTTTTCTCTGTGCATATATATTATATATAACATACATAAGATAATATATATGTATTATATATCATATATGTTATATATAATGTTATATATATTTATATAATACATAGTTCAATATTTCTCCTATTTCCTCAAGCCATATGTGTAAACATTGCATATAGAGTATTTAAACAAACAGTAATGATTATAATAATGGATTGAGTTTTTACTGTATGCAAAAGTGTCAGCTAGGCATTTTCTTGTGTGAATTATTTCTAATTATTCAAACATCTCCACCAGATTTATATATCAACAGAGAGGAAACATAATTTTTTCAGTGTTACAGAACTCTTAAATATTGTGTTAGAACTGAGTACACATTGCCCACATCTGAGGTCCCAGAAAACTATTTGAGGACTGATACATAAAGAAAAAAAATCAAGAGTCTATCCACCTTTTCCATTGTGAACTGTACTTAAGGATAACCAATTAATTAAGTTGTGAAAATTCTCCTCCAGATTCTAAACGAAGAATAGTAGAGTCAGAATGTCAGCATTTTGCAACTTCAAGAAAAATAATGACCTAATAACAGCTAAAAACACAAAGGAGAAAAAGCTAGACATTATGTGCCTCCTGGTGTTAGTACACAGCACCACATTTCAGAATCTGGACAAGGCTCTTAACAGTAACATGGCACAGAGAAACATGTTAAATAATACCACAGGGATGAAATCAACCAAATCCATACTGTGCATAACCACCTGAATAGTCAATAAATAAACTTCTAGAGAGAGAGAGAGAGAGGGGTGTGTGTGTGGGGGAGGGAGAGAGAGAGAGAGAGAGAGACTATGTAAAGGAGACTCTTGCAATTTATCATCCAAATGCAATGTATAGATTTTATCAAGATCTTGATTCTTTTAAAAATTATCAAATAGAGATACTTAAACACTGCCAAAATATTTGGTGTTATTAAACAATTAACTTTACACATGTTTTAGGCATAATAAACAGCAATATTGTGGTTATGTTTAAAAAGTCTTACATTTTAGATATCCCTAATAAATATCTATTGATTAAAGTACATATATTTTACATTTGTATCGATTATCCTTAAGGAAGAGGTGGAAGAAGGTGGGGTGTACAGATGTAAGACTGAAATTGGAAGATGCGACATTGGAATTTTCTCTTATCAGTCTTTCCACATTTGTAAATATTGATCCATAATTTTAAAAATAAGTATAATTTTTTAAAAAATTTAAAATGCAAAGGGGAAATTGTGAGTCTTTTTGACTTCCTATAGTTAATATCAAACACCCCAACATATTAATTTTTTTTCAAATTTTTTACTCCCTATTAGTGACATATCAACAGTAAATCATGTTCGCACCATGAAAGATGATTTCTCTAGGTTTCAGAAGACTCAGAAAGTGTGCCAGTTGTGTTTGTTGATAATCAGTATCTTGCCTACTCTTCTAGACCTGTTGTTTGATTGTGGTAGTATAAAGCCTTAAAATATTATTTACCATATACCCTTTCTAATAGCTTTCTATTTTAATTCTTCAGTGGAAGGCACTCAGGTAAAATTGGATAGACTGGGGAGAAGGAGAAGCCATTTAAAGGAAACCTATTTTTACCCACAGAACATTTCTGACACCAAATGTTTATCAAGTTTTCCCGCACCAACTGACTCACCAACTGTACAGATACCAACTTGATGTCCTACAGTTTAATTCTGCAACTACTTGGAGTTAGTGCAGATCCAAGAGATTAAGGGCTCAGTCCCACAAGTCTGTTTACCTCTTCAAATGCCAATCACAAGATCCAGGTTGTCACCTATACTTCTGACCAACCAGTTATAAATCAGAACTTCTCACCCTCCTCATGTCAAATAATTTGCTAAAACAGCTCACAAAACTCAAGCAAATATTTACTTAAATTTACCACTGTATTGTAAAGGATATTAGAAAGAATACAGATGAACAGCCAGATGAAGAGGTATGTACATAGAATGGGGACTGAGGGTTCCTGAGCACAGGAGCTTCTGTGCCCAAGGAGTTGTGATGTGACACTCTCCAAGCACATCAATATATTCAATGCCCAGAAGTTCTCTGAACCTGTAGTTGAGGGATTGTTATGGAGGCTTCATCACATAGGCATGATTGATTACTAACTCAATTCCCAGCGTCTCTGAGGCTGAAAGTTTCAAGTTTCTAATCATGGCTTGGTCTTCCTGGCAACCAGCCCCCAACTTGAAGCTGTCCAGGACCCTACCAAGTGTTGCCTCATTAGAACAAAAGATATTTTTATCACCCGGGAAATTCCAAGAAGTTAAGGAGCTCTATGTCACAAACCAGGGTCAAAGGTCAAATTGAACAAAGGATGCTCTTAGCACCCTATCACTCAGGGAACTACAGGGGTTTTAGGAGCTCTATGTCAAGAGACAGGTGTAGAGACCAAATATATATTTTCTCTTATGCCACAGCATTATTTGCTATCAGCAGATGAAAGCATATATAAGTGTGTCTGTGGCAACTGGCAGAGCACAGAAGTAGAGTTTTGCTTACAGCTTTCAGGCTTCCTCCTTAGAAACACTCACTTAGGTATGGAAGCTTTGGTGGCAGCTTCTCTGAAATTCCTCCATGAACAGGAATGACACTAAGCAGGGATGGTGATAATTGCCGATTTATTCATCTGAGTGTTGGTTACCAGAGTGCTTAGTGTGTGAAAATCATTGTGCTCTATACTATGATATGTGCACTTTTCTGTGTATGTGCTACTTCACTCCAGTAAAATGTTAAGACAAAAAAAACAAGAATAGAACATGGTAAAAAAAAAAAAAAACTATCTATATGCCTTTTCACATTTGTTTCAATTGAACAAGAAAAGAAGGTCTACCCTGTGGTGCTGAAAGACAGAAAAGGCTGATTACAGATAAATTCATATCTGCATTATTTATGGATATCTAAACTGCAAGTCAACCAATTAAGACCTCAGTTTTAGATTAACCCTATGCCAAATGCAGAGCAATGATAGATCTTTCTTATGTGAATTGAAGCATTCTATGGTTCACATTCAATTTGAACTTTGATAGCAATTTTGGGGATTCTATCAGGGCCTATACCTGCATTAGGAATTGTGAAATATTGTGAGAAACATTTCCTGGCTCATTTCAGTTTGGTATATAATAACTCAGCTTCACTGGTAATGGTATCTCAAGGTGGAGGCCATAAAACTTGTGCATGAAAGAATTACAGGGAAAGAAATATGAGCCTCACGTTCCGACCTGAGGGTCAGAGAGTGGACTTGTAGATACAAAACTCAGGGAGACTTCTTCTTTGGAGGAGGATTAGGATAGGGAATTATGTGTATGAGGGAAAGGAATTAGGAGTTGCTCTGTTTGACAGATTTAACCCATTTTAGAGCCATCAAAGTTAAACATAATGTAGACTATAAAATTACATTTTGATGAGACATTATTTAACACATTGATCTTAACATACTGATGCATAAAATAATATATATGTTTTTGGAGATAATTTGTAATATTTTAGATATGGGGAATTATTTGTCATTAGGTTAATTGGTCATACAAATGTTCAAATAATCACATCAATTCTAACACAATCAATCTTAAGTATTATATATAAAATATATAATACATATTTATACACATAACAAATATTATTATATATACAGACATAAGTATTATATATAATTAATAATATTAAAATATACTTAATCATATAATTATAAAAATATAATATATAAGTATTATATATAATTATATATAAGTATTATATATAATACTTATATATAATTATTATATACAACACTTATATATAATACTTATATATAATTATTATATACAACACTTATATATAATACTTATATATAATTATTATATAAGTGTTACATATAACACTTTTATATATAAGTATTATATATAAGTATTATATATAACACTTATTAGATATAAGTATTATATATAACACTTATTAGATATAAGTATTATATATATTATATATAAGTTATATATTATATATGTATTATATATATTATATATAATATATGTAAGTATAATATATAATAAGTATTATATATAATACTTATGTCTGTGTACATACATACCCTAATCAAATATAATACTTATGTCATGTGTACTCATATATATACCCTAATCAAAACTAACATTGTATACTGTGTTCTATTTCACAGAGTATTTTGACACTTTCCTTTAGGAATGACGTTACATATATCAAACATTCTGCATGCACTACATAGAGACCAACAATTCCTACGAAATCATAGTCAAAACAATCTGTTCATATTTCCCAAAGAAAATGTGGTTTTAAATTTTTAAAAATGGTAATATAAGACAATATTATCTTTGTAAGAAACTCAAACATTACCAAACAAAGAAAATACTATTAGAAAGTCCTTGATCTCCTCCCTGTTATCCACTTAAGACCATAGAGGAAAAAAAAAAACACAATTATTAACAATTACTATGCATTTTTCATACCTTTTTTATGCTTTACAAGTCAATATGCATGTATCTACCTTTTTCTTCATACATAATAGGATTTTTAAAACTTAAATGGATCATTGTTTTCTGTAACTCTTCCTCGCACTTAATATATTCTGAAGTGGTGTCCCATGTTAGTAGACATATATATATATATATATAAATATATTTAACCACTGCATATTCTTCAACATTATGAATGTATCATAATTTTGTTGACACTTATTTCCAAAATGTTCACTATTATAAATAACAATATAAGAACTTACAACTTCACATAATATGCTTCTAAGCACAGGCTCTGGGGTCAGACTTTTCTGCTATCTAAGTAGTGTGAACCCTTGACTGAGGTATTTCACTATTTTGAGATTAAATATTCTTAACCTATAAAAAAGAAACAATAAGTACCAACATCACAGGGTTACTATGAGTATTAAATAAGTAACAGGCCCTTAGCATAGAGCCTGCAATCTAGTAAATATTTAGCAAATATTAGATAATACTACTATATACATATAGTTAGTGTATAAGGCATCTTTATAACATATATACTTTATACATAATGTATAACATTTATAATGTATTTTATAACATATAAAATGCCTCTAACATACTGAGATATAAAATGCTCAATATATGTTAGTATATTTTTAATACATTCTCTATTAACACTTAATGTTTACAAGAACTATAAAAGTAGTTAAGAACTATGAAAGTAGTACTATAAAAGTAGTTCTTATAAACATTTATAGTAGTTTCATAAAAGTGGAACACTGAAAAGTACCAATCATTTGTTAGTAATGTCATTTGTCAATATTTTCAGCCAGTCAAGATATTCTTGATATAATATTTACACATTTTTATGAGGTACATGTCATATTTTGTTACATGTATAGAATGTGTAGTGATCAAAGTCAAGCTATATAGGGTATCCATCCTCTTAAGTATTTATCATTTCTATGTGGTAGTGACATTTCAAATCCTCTCTTCTAACTATTTTGAAATGTACAATACGTTATTATTAACTATAGTCACCCTACTCTGCTATCAAACATTGGTACTTATTTCTTCAATTTAACTGTATGTTTGTACCCATGCACCAAGCTCTCTTCATCTCCCACCCCACATAAACACTCTTCCCAACCTCTGTCATTCTCCTCTCTCCCTCTATGAGATCAACTTTTAATTCCCACATAGGGCATATGGCAACCAAGCAATACTTGTCTTTCTGTGTCTGGCTTGTTTCACTCATTTAACATAATGATTTCCAGTTTCCTCCATGTAGCTAAAAACAACAGGAATTTCATCGTTTTTATGGCTGGACACTATTCCACTGTGTCTATATACCACAGTTTCTTTATTCACTTATCTGCTGTGGGACACTTAGTTTGACACCATATCTTTGCTATTGTGAATGGAGCTACAGTAAACATGCGAGTGCAGGTGTCCCTTTGATATAACTATTCCCTATCCTTTGGATAAATACCCTGTAAAGCGATTGCTAAATCATTTTCAACTACATATAGTCTCTTGTTTTATGAACTGTTTTTTTTCAATTTTATGAGCACAAATTACTCAGCCTTTTCCTTATGGTTTTAGGGATTTGTGTCCCGCTTAGAAAAACATTTTACAAAAATTAAAACAATATTACCTTATAGTGGACTATAATTTATGTATTTTTCATGTTACCCTCTAATCCCTTCTGGAATATATATTTTTATATCACGTGAAGTAGGCATTCAGTTTTAATTTTTTTCCAAATGAAAAGTCAATTGCTTTTAAGTCATTTTTATTACTTTGCCCCATGGATTTGAAATGTCACTTTTAATGATATAATAGATAACTTCACATGCATGAATCTCTTCATAGACTCTTTATTTGGTCATTGAGATTAACTTTTTTTAAATTTTGAGATATATTTGGTTGCTTTGAATATGAATGTTAACCTTCCCATGTAGACATAGTTGGAAAGATTGCCAACCACAGGTATGTATTCCTTTTTCCAGAATAGCATAACAATCTTCGGTGTATTCATTATTCTACAATATGGGTTGGGGCCTGGAGAAAATTAGAAAAGTGTCCCCAGTCTGTCCCCAAATTTAACTATTAGAAAGTCCTTGCTCTCTTCCCTGTTATCCACTTCAGACCACAGAGGAAAAAAATAAAAATAAAAACACTTATTAATAATTACTATGCATTTTAGTACCTTTTTTATGCTTTTCAAATCAATATGCATGTATCTACCTTTTTCTTTTCCCTCTCTGCTGGAGCTGATCTTGTCTCTAATTATTAGAAATGGACATGAAATGCTGCAGGCTGTGTAGTAGATATTTTCTGTCTAGCCTCTACTTTAGTCATCACAACTTTCCCCCAATCATTAGGGGATTTGCAAATATTAATTCTTTTTTTTCTTTTTGTCATTAGCCACGTTGACTAGTTCCTCTGCCTACTTATTTTCCTTTTTAGGCCCAAACATTATATCCTTTGCCTTTTGAGCCCTACAAGAGTATCTCTTCCTACTATATTTTCTGAATAGATTCTACTTTTTTGCAGTAGTTTCTATTATCTGTTTCACAGAGGAGAATGCTGGGTGAGGCTCAAAGAGCTTCAATGACTTGCCTCAGAAATGACAGGATGGACCTTGTGTAACCCAGTGATGTATTCATAATCGACAGTTGCCAAGTTGATGCTCCATTATTACCTTGGTAAATTGTTGTAAATATTTGTGGGTCATGTTAGATGCTAGCAGTAGATCAGTAGATAAGGATTCTTTCTAAAATGATTTAAGGACTTGGCATACCCTAAGGCCTGATTATCCGCCTTTGAGGTGCTTGTAGTAGCGTGGGAAGAATGCACTATCTCCTTCTACTCCAGCATAACCTCTCAGTGTATGAAGGAGTGTAATAGTGCATGCATCATCTGTTATGGTGTGTGCCATGATCACTCAACTCAAAATAATGCTCTGGCCCTTTAAGTTAAATAATAGTGTAAATGGGTGTTCAAAAGTGTTGAAAAGTAGGACAGTGATCCAGAAAGACTGAGGTACTTGCTTTAAAGGGGAAGTATAGCTCTATAATCTGTAATTTAACTGTACACATTTGCATGCCTCTTTATCTCACTCTGAAAAGTTAATGTAATTGGAATTAACAGTTCATAGGAAAATAAGTGATTTCCAATGACCATTATGGCAAATTATGAGACCTTAAATGATAACTATGTTTTTCATTAACATATTATTTGGCTAAGATGAAGATTAATAATTTTCCTTCATCTATTATAAGGATATTAAATTTTTATTTCATTAACAAGTTCAAGCTATAGGGTTCAGCCAAGCCTCTGAAATGCCACCAAATTTAAGTCTATAAAGAAGTATTTTATATTATAATTTGAACTGTAAAAAAGAAACATTTTATTTGAAAGGGTAAATTTTAGGACTTCAAATTTAAATTAGAAAAAAATTGCTTTCTCTGTTACTGTACTTAATTTTATCTAAATGAACATAAAACAAAAATATATATGTATATATTTGAAGGTTCAAATGTAGCTTATTTTCGAAAACCAATCTGGTTAAATCATCTTACAGACATATTGTAATAAGCTAAGTGGTAAGAACTTAGTATAGTTTAAACAGAAAAACTGAAAAGAAGTTGAGCTGCAGAGTTAATTAGTGTAATATTTATAAAATGCTTGGAACTAGAAGTCAGCAGAGATTTCGTCTAAATTTTATGGAAACTAACTCTGTAACATGGGAAAGCCAATTACCATTCTGCAGCTTAGGTAAAAGGAGAAACTTGGAATCAAAGTCTTGAAGTTCTCTTCCTGAAATAAAAAATGAGTAAATGCAGTCTCAATGTGATAGCATAGTTGTTATCACATATATTTATTTTTGCTAGTTTAATGTTGAGTCTATTGTAATCCATCTCACTTGAATGAGAAAAAAACATCATTTTTTTTGCAATAACACAAAGGGTTAACAGAAAATAGACTAAAATTAACCTTTCTTATATTTGTTTCTTTCAGAGTTTTGATGATCCTTTGATATGCCATGACCCAACAGGTGCTGTATATCCATTCATTAAGTATTTATACATGTATTCCTTTATAAGCAACACATAAGCCAAGTACGTTCCTTTTTTTTTTTTTTTTTTTGAGATGGAGTCTCGCTCTGTCACTCAGGCTAGAGTGCAGTGGCACGATCTCGGCTCACTGCAACCTCCGCCTCCCACGTTCAAGCGATTCTCCTGCCTCAGCCTCCCGAGTAGCTGGGACTACAGGAACCTACCACCGTGCCCGGCTAATTTTTGTATTTTTAGTAGAGACAGGGTTTTACCATCTTGGCCAGGCTGGTCTTGAACTCCTGACCTCGTGATCCACCCACCTTGGCCTCCCAAAGTGCTGGGATTACAGGCTTGAGCTACCACGCCTGGCCAAGCCAAGTACTTTCAAGAACCCTGTTACTTGGAAAAGAATGTGATGATTACTAAAATTTTTTTAAAAAATTCCAGCATTGGACATTAAAAAACATAATGTACATAAAATAGTATTACTAAACATACACCTTAAGTGTTCAAAATATACAGATATCCATGAAGAATATATTTCAGATGATTTTTTCACTTATTGAAATATAAATTGATATTAACAAGAAAGTCTCATTAACTATTTCATCTGATCAAAACAAATCTCTCTGTTTTATGTTTAAGAGTGTAGCACTAGTCCCAATAATACCAATATTATTATAAACAAAATTTATATCCCTTCTTATCATTTGTTAACCCCTTAAAATTGTCTTGATAATGTAGAAAGTTTAAATCAATACTGTTTGCAAGGCTGGTTGTGTGGTGGCTCACGCCTATAATCCTAGCACTTTGGGAAGCTGAGGCGAGAGGATTGCTAGAACCCAAGAGTTTGAGACCCACCTGAGCAACAAAGTGAGACCACCCTCCCCATCTTCACAAAAAGTAAAATTAAAAAAAAAACAGTACAAGAGTTTGAGACCCACCTGAGCAACAAAGTGAGACCACCCCCCACCCATCTTCACAAAAAGTAAAATAAAAAAAAAAATAGTGATGTGCCATGGCATGCACCTGTGGTCTCAGCTACATGGGAGGCATGGGAGGTTGAGGCAAGAGGATGGCTTGATCCCAGGAGGCTGATGCTGCAGTGAGCCAGCCTGAGTGACACAGCAAGACCCTGTCTCAAAAAAATAAAAATTGACTGGTGAGAATTTCTTGTTAACAAATTTAAAAATTCAATTCCAAAATTTAGAGTTGTCTTAAAAGGAAAGTTCATCAAAACCAAGTGATTATTATGGTGTCAATCACCAGAAAGTATAATTTTAATTATTTCCTTTAAAATAATATTAATATAGTAAGAAAATGAGAACACGCCTATTTTATTTTTGAAAATGTTTTTTTGAAGAAGACCACAGTGACTCATGTTGTTTAGGTCTCTTCCAAATTTCATTTATAGCAGAAAAATACATAAATGCAAGTTTGTATTTACTTAGCATAAACAGGCTTTTCACCTTTGCTTATGTATAGACTAGCAAGAGCATAGCACAGGGAAATGTAATGAGTGAGGTGCTAGGAATGTGGTGCTTTTGTAACAGCACGTGGTTTTTAGAAAGGTTTTATAAATAAATATATGTGAGTTATTTCCTATTATCTTTTTAATCAAAACAAATATATAATTATTAAATATAACCCTGAAATTATTTTTATGAAGATTAAATAGAATAAAACTAAAGGGCTTTGAAGTTCACAAAGTCTCCTAAAAGAATGGAAGTATGAAGTTCCAGAAATGATAAATTTTCATTTTCCCTCTAAGAAAACAACAAATCAAACCACTGCAAACCAGTAGCATATGTGGTAAAATTATTGTTGGGGAGGGGCCAATGGGGAACATGAAAGAGCCATGGTTTCCTCCCAAAACTTTGAAGCAATGAGAACAAAGTTACGTGATGCTGTCTTCATTCTAGAATTTCAAAATTTTTAAGCATTTTCTTTCATATACTGTCAGAAAAAAATGGAAACCCTGGAACTGCTCACCTACCAGAGGTAGGGCTTACTTAACGTTTCTGTGGCAACCTCATATTTTTTCTCTAATAGGTTTCCCCTATCTATTTGTGAGTTACACATGGGTCTAAGAAGTAACCCTTCCTAAAAGACAGTCATTAAGATAGCAGGCAAGTTCATTTTCCCTAGTTATACTTAGCTGGGCAATCTTGTTCCCAGCCTGTGTACTCATTGATGCACCTAATGTAAGATGTATATATACATCTTAATGTCTATTTCTTTGTATGAATTTAATGCTTTATAATATTGAGGTGTTTTGTTTTTTTAAAAAAAAATCTCATTACAGTCAGATGAGCACCAGTTTGGGGAATCAAGATTTTAGAAAACTCATCTCAGTCAGACAACTTCTCTTACCATCATGACCCTTGTGGATTTTACAAGATGTCTTTTCCTTCCCTAATACCATAAACTTACCTTGAAATCCCTCAGTCTGTGAGATGTAAAATATAAACTCTGTTGGTAAAACTCCATTTCAAACATCCCAGTCTATTTCACACTGCTAAAATAATTTTTTTTTTCAGAGATAAGGTGTCCTGGGAGTGGAGAAAGGGCAGTTTCATACATGTTGTCAGCATGTCACATGTTTTTTCAATATTTAAGGTAAGGATCTGAGATATTTTTACCTTTACCACACTTGTTAAGATTTTCCCTGACCTTATGAATTCCTGAAATTTGAAATCCAATTGAATTTTCATAGATATCTCCTTGAACATTAAATTGAAATTGTCTTTAAATAAGACTCTAGCTACAATCTTAACATAAGGATGGGATTCTTCCCCCTGCTTTGTGTTTGCTAACCACTGGTTAGCTTGAGTATTATGGTTACCATTGATAATAATGAAAGAATCTATCTTTACTTCTTCCCCATTTGCTTTTTCTACCGAGAATGTCTTAAAGTTGGTGAAATTCTCTGGATTATAAATCTTGTTTGTGCATAAGCATTACTGGAAAAGCACCTAGCTCTCTATATACTCCCAGTGACAGAGTTTGAGGAAAGTTTTCACTATAATTCTTCAAAGTACAGAAGTAGACATTTGAAGAGTCTGAACAGTAGAGGAGCTTAGGGCTTTTCTGGGAGAATGTTGAGAATTCTCAGATACTCAGTTATTTCATATGTAAATAATTTGTTTATTTGTGAGGATCCATAAGCAAGTAACATAAGATGTCTCAAGAATTGCATATCAGGTCTCAGAAAGAACTGAGTACACAATAGGACTCACTCCAGTTCTAGTGTCTGTCAGAGACTCCAGTGATGCAGCAGTAACTGTAGAAAGTAGCCTTTATATCCTCTAAGAATGAAGACACTGTTTGTTATGTATTCTCTCTCCTCTGCTCTGCTGATTCTCTCTCGCTCTCTTCCTGTCTTTCCCCACTGAAGCACGCACAGACACAAAATCTCCACAAAACCTGAAGTGAATATCATTGGGTGAGGCAGTCCCCATTTGATACAGACATCTTCTTGGGCTGTACTTTTATACCAGGCCACCTAATAGGCCATTGACAAACCTATTGATAACAGGCTTTAAGTGAACAGCTCACTCCTATTCCAGTATATAGTGATGGTTTTGGGACAAGAGGGAAACAAGAGGGAAAGTATTTTAACATTTGGTGCTGAGATTTTTCAAAATGTATGGTGCCCAAAGGAAGCTCAGAAAATCATGTTCTTCTTTATAATATTTTGTTAATCCGAGCTGTGAAGCAGGTTCACTGTACATTGGTTACCAAGCTGTCTGAGTCTGGTGAGACAGAATACCCCCCATACACACACATACACACACACGGACAAGTTATATGAAGTGGAATTATTACTTACAGATAGGCAGCAGTATATGACAGAAGACTGGGATTTAAGATGAGCTAGGTTGAGGAAAGCTGCCTGAGGCAGATAAAATCTGGTCTGTGCATGTCCCAACTGCACCACAGCTCAGGGACTCTGAAAAGCAGCTCAACTCTTTGGGTTTTATACCCTGGGAGCAATAAGACATGCTGGGTTAAAATGTTGAAGGACATCCTGCTTCTAAGCGGGGCTGGAAACAAGTCAGAGTTTTTCTAGTCAGCCCTTCCCTATCTCAGCATGTTTAATTCCCAGAACATTCTAGAGTTATTCTGAAGGACTACCTGCAAGAATAGGGTAGAGCTGGATTGGTCCAAGGTCATCCAGAAGACTGTCCTACAAGAGTATGCACCAGGGACCAGCAGCACAGCATCACCTGGGCACTCAATAGAAATGCAGAATCTCAGGCTCTTCTCTGAGGGACTGAAACAGAGTCTGCATTTTTAATTGACTTCATTTAACAAGTCCTCCAGGTGACTCATATACATATTAAAATGTGAGGAGCACTGCTTTTGCCAAGCTTCCACTAGTCTCCAACTTGACTTTTAATAGACTCTTAATAGTCAATGCATCTGTCTAGATCTTAGATTCCTCTTCATTATGCTAAAATTTCAGGTCTGAAAGGGTCTATAAAGGAATGTTTTACATTTTTGAAGAAAGTAAAGTAAGTAAGAAACACCTCTGTCTGGGGTGCATATTCTGACTCTTAACAGCCTGTGATATATAAGTATGGAATGTATAATCCACTCACTTATGTCAATTGAAGAAAATGATGAGACAAGTCTCAATCATTTTAGGAGATTTATTTGCCAAAGTTAAGGACACACCCTGGGAGACAGGTCTATGCCCTTCTCCAAAGATGATTTGAGGGCTCCAAATTTAAAGCGGAAAGGGTGGGAAGCACACAGTTTTCACATAAGCAAAAGCGGGCAGAGGAACAATGTGGGGAATCTGCCTTTTACATATGAAAACACAGACAAAATGCAGTACAGGAATAATCAGATATGCATTTGTGTCTGGTGGACTGAAGTGGCTGCACCTGTGAAGATAAGCGATCAATTTGCATTGCTATGGTGAAGTTTTAACAGCTCACCAGGAATTTCCTCATGGGCAAAATATGGGGGAGGCATATAGCCTTTCATCTTGTAGCCATCTTATTTAGGAACCAAAAGGGGGAGGCAGGTTTGCGTGACCCAGTTCCCAGCTTGACTTTTCCCTTTGGCTAAATGAGTTTGGGGTCCCAAAATTTAATTTCCTTTCATACTTATAAAAGCAGTGAGAGCACCACAGTGTGTACAGGTCCAAGTGAGAACTTAAATGGACCAACCACTTAGGTGCTTTTATTAGTGACTAATTAATGCTTTGGCTGATGTCAACTTACTGAAGAAACAAAATAGTCTTATTCCAAGAAATAATTTAATGGGAATATTTTACCAGCCAAGTTGAGTTCGAGTTTTACAAAATTACTAACTAGAACTTAATGAACAATTTTAAAGTTGCCTCAAAAAAAGTATAAAATATTTTCATTTTGTTCAAAATGAAGAAAATTTAACTCTGTAAGCCAAAAATAACATTAAAGCTCCCAACCAACTGAATGGATCCCTCTCTTGGCCAAGAGCATTGCAAAGTAAATCTGAAAAACTAGGTCAAGCCATGATGGAAAGAGCAGGTCAGACATCCCTCATTTTACCCTTCTCTCTCTGGAATTCAGGTATGGATGACCAGCATTAACATTAAAACAGAGATCTTAAGACTGACAAAACAGACTGTTTGCAGCAATAAGATACAAAATTCCAACCTGACTCTAGTGTAAGATCCCATGACACATAGTGGGACCCGAAAGAAATCCAAGTATTTTGCCCCAGAATATATTTTTTAACATATTTTGAAACAGCTCTGCAAAGTTGTCTCTTGTGGGGACATCTATATTCTGTAGAGAACCCTCTTCCCTTTCTAGGTCTTTTCCTGATCCAAAAGAAAGTTAACTAAGAGACTGACACATTTTAGGATGTGATGAGACATTTTCTATTTATTCTCTGAAGTCTGCTACTTGGAGACTTCATCTACATAATAAGAACCTTGGCTTCCACAACACCCTTTATCTTAACTACAAGCATTTATTTCTGTTGACTTCAACTCTTCAGGCAAAGCTTTCCCTTTCAACCAATTGCCTTCAGGAAATTTTTGAATCTACCTATAACCTGGAAGTCCCCAGTCTACCCTCTTTAACTCCATCCCTTGCTTCAAATTTTCCTTCCTTTCCAGACCAAACCAATGTACACCTTACATATATTGATTGATATTTGCCTGTAACTTCTGTCCCCCTAAAATGTATAAAATCAAGCTGTAATCCAACCACTTTGGGTACATGTTCTCAGAATCTCTTGAGACTGTACCTCAGGCCTTACTCAATCATATATGGCTAAGAATAAATCCCTTCAAATATATTACAGAGTTTGATTCTTTTGTTATTCACAATTAAATTCAATACGTTTGTCATACCACTTTTTCTTGTAATACTAAATATTTGTGCTCACTAATCAATATTTAAAAATCAAATTTCTAGAGTAATCTAATATTTAAAAAATTCAGGCCTGGTGCAGTGGCTCATGCCTGCAATCCCAGCACTTTGGGAGGCTGAAGAGGGTAGATCACCTGAGGTCAGGAGTTCTAGACCAGCCTGACCAACATAGTGAAACTCCATCTCTACTAAAAACACAAAAAATTAGCTGGGCATGGTGGCAGGTGCCTGTAACCCCAGCTACTCGGGAGGCTGAGGCAGGAGAATCTCTTGTACCCAGGAGGTGGAGGTTGCACTGAGCCGAGAATGCACCGTTGCACTCCAGCCTGGGTGACAGAGTGAGACTCCATCTCAAAAAAAAAAAAAAAATTCAAGAGCAATGTTTGCAATTCTTATGCCTATATCATGAATAGCCCCAAATAAGAAAATGTTGCTTGGTTGACAAATTGTTTCCCTAGATGAAAGCCTATTTTTCTAACTTTATAACACTGTGTTAATCTATTTTTGGATTGCTATGAAGAAATACTTCAGACTGGGCAATTTATTAAAAAAAAAAAAAGAGTTTAATTGGCTCATGGTTCTTCAGGCTTTACAGTAAGCATGATGCCCACATCTGCTCAGCTTCTTTGCGGGGGGGGGGTCTCAGGAAGCTTTTACTCATGGCAGAGGGAAAAGTGGAAGCAGGCACTTAAAATGGCAAGAACAGGAGCAAGAGTGAGAGTGACGGGGAGAAGTGCCACACTTTACAACAACCAGCTTTTACAAAACTCACTCACTAACACCAGTACAGCACCAAGCCATAAGGGATCTGCCCCCATAACCCAAAAACCTCCCACCAGACCCCACCTTCAACATTGGAGATTACAATTCAATATGAGATTTGGATGGGTAAAATATTCAAATGATATCACACGGTATTCTGATACTCTTATTTGTCTTCATTAGGGTGTGTAGAAAGTAATTTAAGAACAGTATTAAAAAATCCAGTTTCCATATAATTTTTTGTCTATGAATAAAATAGTAAATTTAATGTTATTTTTAACAATTTCAATCTCACTTAAATAACAATACACATTTTTAACTTTTAATTCTGAAAAAAAATTAAACTTACAAAAAATTTATACATTTGTTTACATATTGCTCCATTAGCTGTGTTGGACTCAGAAAACAATATCCTAAAATGAAGTCGTCTGCAGCAGTTCTAGATGCAACAAGTTTTCCTCTGACCTTCTCCTGTCCTCCTATTTCTCAGTCCTGTTCCCCCACTGAAGTTATCCCTAGAAGCTAAGATCCCTCCTCCCCAATGTGGGTCATTGAAACCAGCACCTCTTTTGCCCCAAGCCCATCATGAAACCTAAAAATATTATTCTAATTTTTCCTCTACCTTTCTCTGTAAAAACTGGCCATAAAGAAATTACCTGATCTAACTCTTTGACTATAGGTCATAAGTCCCCATTCCAGAGAGGTCCTGTCCCACACCCAGAAGAAAAGAATGCATGCTCAGAGACACCAAGAAGAATCTAAGCAGGGAGGACTTGCGGGTTTTCCCCACTCAGTATATTAACATTAGATCATACCCTTTTTGTCCAAATGTTTAGAGCAAGCAAAAGAATAAAGGTGGGGCTGCAGGCTGATGACTTATGGGACACTTTTTTTTAATTGTCTTCTTATTCTGCTGTGTGTGTGTGTGTGTGTGTTTTGCTTTTAATAGACATATATACTTTTGTGTAGCTCTAGATTTTTTTTAGTATGATAAGTAGAAGAGAAATATCTAAAACTGGTTATCAATAGAAGGGAGAGAAGAAAGAATCCTATGTACACTAGGGCCAATATATTATTGGGAATCAAATATTGTTGTGACACAGATTTCTAAGGGTAATTTAGAAAAACAAGTACTTAACAATATACTTTTAGCTATTTGTGCTCCAGGTTTTATAACTATACTTATGGGTGGAACTTCTGCCAGCACTATGATTTTTTGATAGAAATTAAAGTGACAGAATTATCTTCTCCTGAATCAAATTACCCAGTTAGTGGCTGTGAGATGGTGGCAGAAGGAAGGACATGTTAGAGTCACTCATTCATTCACTCCAGTGAAGTACTAATGTCAATTGTTGAAACATGGAGACTGAAACAAGTTATCACAAGGAAAGAGTATGAAGGTATAAAACATGTTGCCAAAATAATCATTGTGTTCAATAGCCCAAAAGAACAAGTAATTGCCATGTGCAGATACTCATATACTATCTTGTTGCATTTGATTTAATTTTATCCCTGTCATCCATGTAGGTGGCAAAGTGCAGGCACAGTGCATTCTTTCAGAAAATTGAGTTCTCATGACAGTGCTGATCTGTGGATTTCAGTTGTTTCAGAAACTAATTCATCCATAGTCATCACTACTGATTTGAAGAAAGCAGAAAGAAACTTTAATAGAATTAGAAGGATAAACAACCTGTGCATTTATAAATAAATTAATTAAAAATAATTACTGAATATCACTACATATGAGGCAATGGTATACTCACTGAGAGCATAGCAGTTAAAACAGATGAAAGATTCTCTCCTAATGGACTTAGTATCCTGTCATGTGAGAAAGGAAGTAAGGAAACATTAGCTTATGCCTATTGGACATTTAAATTGCGGGTGGGAATTTTTCTAAGAACATTGCCTGTATTCCCTCATCTAATACTCAAAGAGACTTGAATGGGTAGTATTGTTACTTCTATTTTACAGATAAAGATAGTGAAAAAAAGACAAGTTCAGTAATTTACACAGTAATTTGCAGAGTAATGATTCTGAAATTTGAAGCCAGGTAATATAGTTTCCATATATACTAAGCAATAAGAATCCTGAAGACAAATGAGCAGGAAAAGGTTAACTAAAGTAAAAAGTAGTCATGGTGGTGGTGGATGGTATATAATTTGAGAAATGGTGGTCAGCAAGAGCTTCTCTTCTAGGGGTTTTCAAGCAGATGAGGTATCATGTTGATATCTATGGGACAAGCATTGTAAGCAGAGGGAATAGCAAAATCAAACATACTTGAGGACAGTGCATTTAAAGAGCAAAGAGAAGGAAAATATGTGTGAAGCACAGTGAGGGAGTGAGGGAGAGAATGATAACAGATCAGGGCAGAGGAACGTTGGTAGGGGAGATGTTGGGGGAGGCAGTGGTAGCATACAGCTCATCACCTGTTATATGTTCCAGTCACTCTCAGTGCTAAGCTCAGGTACCCTCAGATCCTTTTTTACTATTCCTATGTTCCCTTCTTAGACTTGAGTGTGCTTGCTTTTAGAACTCATCTCTGAAGAATTTTTCTCAGGTTTCTAGAGCCCCTTTCCCAAAGCATAAAAAGCTACTAGTGCTTGAGAGCTACCTCTCCCCATAGCAACTGACAGATGGGTGCAGCATAACGAAAACCAGCTCCCTTGCCTTGGGCCATAATGAACTCCAAGGAGTAACTTATACTCCTGAGTCTCCTTCTAGGATAAAATTAAAGCTACCTTCCCCAGAACTTTGCCTGAAATTGCCCCCTTGCTTTGCTTCTTCCACTCCCCTCATTTCTGTACTGGCTTTTCCTGGGAACTTGCACATGAATCTTCACTTCAGGTTATGTTTCTGAAGAACCCAACCTCAGGTAAATGTGTGTGAATAACCTAAACTGGTTCATCATAGGAAGGAATCTGGAGAAACAGGAATCTGGAGTTGAATTCCTCTATGGTCAGATGGTATCATGACCTCATCATTGGCGGTAAGTGAACTGTTTATGCACTGTGCTATGCTGGAGCTAGAGCAGTGAGATTACCAAAATTTTCATCCATCACAAATTGGAATGTTTCTGGGTGGAAGGAAATAAATTGTTATACGCAATACCTCCTATACTGGACAGAGAAGGTGGATGTTGTAATTATAAGTATTGTCATATTGTTAGTTATTGTTGGATGTAACTGATGCACTGAAGAAGGAAAATGAAAGCCCCAAAACAGACAAATACTGACTCAAGGTACAATTAGCAGTGCTTAAAGAGAAACTCATTTCCTATGGCTACAGCATTGACTATGTTGAAGATCAGACCTAGGACATAATGACAAGTATCAGTACTTTACAGGAAGAGAATCAGCACTTTATAGGAAGCTGGATTTGTCATCTCAGCAAGTGTCCATCAGATAGGGAAGGATATCTGACTGGACTTGTAGTAGGCTTAAAAATGGCTCTTCAAAAGATGTTCACACCCTAATCCTTGGAACCCGTGAATGTTACTTTATATGGCAATAATAATAATAAAAGGGATTTTTGCAGATGCGATTAATTTAAAGATCTTGAGATGGAGAGATTATCCAGGATTACCTGGTTGGGTCTTAAATGAATCCCTATAAAAAGGAGGGAGATTGCTCATACATAGAGGAAAAAGTAATATAAAGATGGAGCAGAGAAAGATTTGAAGACTTTGGCCTTGAAGATTGGAGTTATTAGTAATTTAAAGTCTGTCATGATAATTATGTATTTCTCCTTATTTATCTCACTTTTCACTTTATAATTTTGAAAACTGTTATTGAAAAATACATAGAATTCTGATACATTACTATTGGATCATTCCCATTACCATTATGGTATGTCTTATGTTTAATTATCTTCAGCAATATTTCTTTTTTAAAATCTAGTGTTCCTGAGGTTAATATGGCCCCCCCAGCTTTTAGTTTGTAATTACATGGTATATCAATTTCCATCCTTCTTTCAAACCTTGTACATCCTTTTATTTAATGTTTGTCTCTTTCAAGTAGCAGCACTTTTTCATTAAATCTAATGCAATAATTTAATCTTTTTCTTGGAGAGTTTAGTCCATTTATAGTTAATATAATTACTGATATGGGTGGTTTTAATCTACCACTATATAACTTTTTGTATTTGGTCCATCTGTATGCTGTTCTATCTTCTTTGACTGCTGCTTTCTTTTGAATAGATTGGATAATTTTATCATTCATTCTTATCAAGTTCTACAAGTAACTTGTTAGAAATCCATATTTTAACTACTCTTTAATTGTTACACTAGAGACTATAATATTCATCTTTAACCCATTACACTCTAATTCTGATACTAGTGCAATAATCTAAACTTTATACTGCATTTATCACCTTTTACCTATGTTGTTTGGTAATCATCCTTCATTTTAATCATCCATACAATTTAAAGTTAACTAAATTTTAAAATTTTTAGTTATATTTTAATTATTTGGGTAAATTTTCTCCTGCCTGATGAAATCTTCCCTTTTATCTTTTTCTTATAGTGGAAGTCTGCTGAGATAAACTTTCTCAGCCTTTGTCTGAAAAATCTTTATTTTACCTTATTTTTAAAGAATATATTCACTAAGTATAACAATACTTTTCTAGTAGTTGTTTTCCTTCAGCTCTGTTAAGATCCCATTCGTTTGCCTTCTTGCTTTGAGAGTTTTTATGGAGAAGTCATATGTCACTCTCACTCTTGCCCTTTCAATGTACTGTGTTTTTGCTTTCCCTCAGGCTGATTTTGGTCTTTTTTCTTTGTCTTTGTTTTTCAGCAGTATTACTATGATGTGACTTGGTGTAGATTCACTTGTATTTATTTTGTTGGCAATTTGTTTCACTTCTCAAATATATATGTTAATCATTAATTTTTCTTTTCTTTTTTTTTTTTTTTTTTTTTCTGAGACAGAGTCTCCTCTGTCGCCCTGGCTGAAGTGCAATAGTAGGATCTCTGCTCACTGCAACCTCTGCCCCCCAGGTTGAAGTTATTAAGTTATTCTCCTACCTCAGCCTCCTGAGTAGCTGGGATTACAGATGCCCGCCACCATGCTCAGCTAATATTTTGTACTTTTAGTAGAGATGGGGTTTCACCATATTGGCCAGGCTTGTCTTGAACTCCTGACTTCAGGTGATCCACTTGCCTCGGCTTCCCAAAGTGTTGGGATTACAGGCGTGAGCCCCTGCACCCGGGCCTACAAAATTTTTGTGTTATGTCTCTTCAAATATTAATTTTGATCCATTGGCTTATTTTTTTTTTCTTTCTGGGACTGCAACAGTGCATAGATTAAACATTGTAAGCATGTTCTATTTGTGTCTTACACTCTATTCTGTTTCATCCATCTCTTAACATTCTCTGATTTGTTTGGGACATTTTATATTGAGCCATCTTCTAATTCACTTGTGTGTGTGTGTGTGTGTGTGTGTGTGTGTGTGTGTGTATGTATGTGTGTGTGTGCAGAAAAATGTATTCATATATATTGGCATCTTGAATGAGTGATTTCACTGATTATTACTTAAGGAAAGTAAGGCTGAGGCCGGGTGCGATGGCTCATGCTGGTAATCCCAGAACTTTGGGAGGCCGAGGCAGGTCTCCAGACCTGAGGTCTGGAGTTCAAGACCAGCCTGACCAATATGGTGACATTCTGTCTCTACTAAAAATACAAAAATTAGCCAGGTGTGGTGGCGGGCACCAGTAATGCCAGCTACTTGGGAGGCTGAGGCAGGGGAATCACTTGAACCCGGGAGGCAGAGGTTGCAGTGAGCCATGATTGTGCCATTGCACTCCAGCCTTTGTGACAGAGCAAGACTCTGTCTAAAAAAAAAAGAAAAAAAAAAAAGAAAGAAAGAAAGAAAAATAAGGCTGAAAAAAATGACAGGGTATTATATATTTATGGTTAGGTTTCTAAATAGTTTCATTTGGGGTTTAAAATTCTGTCAGTTGTAAGTGATAATTTTGATGGTATAAACCATATTAATGCAGATTCTTTATAGATTATTTATATACCACCAAAAATAAAGAATGTTGAAAGTATAATAAAATAATATGGTCTTCAGAAGATAAAAGGAAAATTATATTGAAAGCATGTTCTTTGGCAACAGAGATACTTATTTTAGGCTCACAATATTTAATTACCAGCAACTTGAATGTGATCTATTGCTAACATTTTATTCTGCAGATTCAGCTTTTTATTTACTTATTTGCATGATTTGTGTCATTTCTCTAGCCTATTAATAGTGTGTTTAATACTTAAAGAAAAGTCATTATCAGTTTATGTAATTCTCATTAACCTCCCATATGAGACAAATGAAAAAATAACAGATATTTAAAAGTGCATACAAAGAGAAGTTTAGAGGGAGAGATAATACTGAGTGGGCGTGATTGAATTAGGACGCGTTCTACTGATTTCTAGAAGCAGCAGCTCATATTAGTCATCTGTCCCTGCTTTAGTCATAATCCAGCTGCAAGTCATACGCCAGTCAGATGGATAACCTAAGCTGGCAGGAATGTGGAAAGCCATACCCTTTTCTCATATTAGTTTCACAAGATGCAGTTTTAAGGATTTGCAGGAATATTAGGCTGTGTGAGAAGGCCATTAATCTGTCATCTCTATACATCTCTGAGCATCTCAAGATCTTTTTCAATTAAAATCAGATGACTTTGTAAACAAAGTTACTACAGTTGTGTGAAAGCCTGGAAGTCATTGAATAATGAGCACTTCCTCTTCGCTTTGCAAGATGCTTTTGATCAGCCGGATGCTAACCCCAGCACTTCATACTTATGCTCATGAACAGAGTATTGTTCATATTTTCAAGTGTGCTCCATAATCAGATGTGTTGTTTTTCTCCCAGTAATAATTCTTTCCTACTCGTTCACCATATAAATTGAAATGCACATGCTCTTTGGTTTAAACAGTCTTTTAATCTCCACGAAGCATTCTTTGTTAGTTTTGTTTTTCTCCATCTCCCTATGTAAGCAAAGTAATTGTGTTGCTTGTGAGAAAGCAACTATTATTTTATCTAAGATATAAATATATCACTCAGCAGTAGGCCCATGGCTTCTGCATAGCAGAATAGGCAGTGCAAATAGAATAGTCAGTGTTCTTGCTAGAGTATATTTTTCCGCGATGTAGCTCAGCCTAAGAGAAACAGACATAATTAAATATTTGAATGTAATAGCATTGTCCCTGAACACAAAAGAGTAAGCAGAGAAAGTTTTTTTTGTTATAAATGCCATGCCAATAATATCCAAGCATATGGTAATAAATCGTTGAACACTATTGTAAATGTTATGTTAGTAGTCACGTTGTTACCTAGGATAATTTCCCGTGGATTCAAAGTCTCTGTTATGTTAAAATGAAAAATGATTATGGTCATTAGGATAACATTTTTGGTATTCATTCAGCTTTATTCGAGTGGCCAACTCTGCCCCTTTCTCTCCTTAGTAGTTTCCTCTCCAGGAATGGAACATTGAAGAGAGGAAAGAATCATAGACTTTGTTTGTATCCTGCCAACCCTCAACAGAACAGACTGCAATAGGGGAGGAATGGACGTAACCACTAACAGTAAATAACTCTTCTCCAGGAAGCATTTCCAAAGAAGTCCATCACACCTTTGTTCTTGGCAAACATCCTCACTTTTCTGGTTTGCTTTGAAAAGCAACAGGCAGCATGTACACAACAAACGTCACCCAGGAAATAGGCAAGCAGTAAGTGTCATGGATTCCTCTATTTGCTCAGTTCTTACAGAAAATCTTATACATGGACTAGCAAACTGCACAAGGACATTATTTGTCTTGCCCAAACCCTGCAGTTGGTGTTGTCTTTCTTCTCCTGGTGCAGGCCGATGTCCTAGTCCACCCATACAGCTTTTTCTCCTCCATGAGTCCTGTTCTGTTTCTACTAGTACTTCCTGAGCCATATTGTGTCCCTTACTACTGGTGAGCTCTAGCTAAATTATGGATCCCATGACAACAACATGGGCTAACTACAGCCTTTTTACATATTTAAAGACAGAGTCTAAGGAAGAACAAAAACAACTTTTTACAATGAGATTCATAACTAAAGATGCATTTCAATGACTTCTCCTGCCTCTACCACCACAAATACGGCAGATTTAGTGCCTTAGTTACATCATAATTGCTCAGGAAAAAGCAGACTGACATTTCAACTGCTTGTTAGCTACAACTATAGAGACTTGAACTTTGTTTTTCTATATAAAGGGCTACATTCACTATCTGTTTTAATTCTCAATTTAATTTGAGCTGGAATCACATATGATGTCAAATAAAGAAGGTCAGGTGTGGTGGCTCACGCCTATAATCCCAGCACTTTGGGAGTCTGAGGTGGGTGAATCACCTGAGATCAGGTGTTCGAGACAAGCCTGGGCAACATGGTGAAACCCTGTCTCTACTAAAAGTACAAAAATTAGATGGGTGTGGTGGCTCATGCCTGCAGTCCCAGCTACTCAGAAGGCTAAGACAGGAGAATTGCTCAAACCTGGAAGGTGGAGGTTGCAGTGAGCCAAGATCGTGCCACTGTACTCCAGCCTGGGCAACAGAGCAAGACTCTGTCTCACAAAAAAAAAAAAAAAAAAAAAAAAGCAAAAATGATCCAGGAAGAGCAACAAAGAATTTGATTTATAGTCCTGGGTTTAATTTCCCAGTAAAATAGTACAAGCTATTTTATGATGGCATACTTGGAAAGCCATGAACCTAGACACAGGTACACTGTATAAACTCAGTGTGACCTTGCCAAAAGACGCCAAAATGGAAAGTAAAGAGGTTCGGACTAGTGAACCTCACTTGTACAAGAGATGAGAATAGCCAAATACATAGGATCTAACAAATAAACTAGAATTAGAGAATCTTGTTTGAAAAGAAAATAAATCTTGGGGCCCCAAAATCACTAAGCTAAAGGGAAAATCAAGCTAGGAACTGTTTAGGGCAAACCTGCCTCATATTCTATACAAAGTCGCCCCTCTGCTCACTGAGATAAATGCATATCTGATTGCCTTCTTTGGAGAGGCTAATCAGAAACTCAAAATAATGCAACCATTTGTCTCTTTTCTACCGATGACCTGGAAGCCCCCTCCCCACTTCAAGTTGTCCCTCCTTTGCTTCAAGATGGAACCAATGTTCATATTACATATGTTGATTGATGTCTCATGTCTCCCGAAAATGTATAAAATCAAACTGTGCTCTGACCACCTAGGGGAAATGTCGTCAGGACCTTCTGAGGCTGTGTCATGTGTGCATGTCCTCACTTTGTCAAAATAAACTTTCTAAATTAACTGAGACCTCCCTCAGATATTTGGGGTTCACACCAGCTTTTCTTTGTTCTGACTTTTAACTGTATTGTTTTTGGGCAGGGCAATTTATACATTTCCTATGGGGTCTCCATACTACTGTATTTCTTGTAGTATGGTTAAAGGTACTTGAAATAACTTCAACATGGAAAATGGAATCTTGACACCTATGAGTAAAATAAATGCAGGCACCTTTTGTCTGTGAGTTTCAATGAGCAGATGAGAAGGGATTCTCTAGCCCATGGAGAATAAGGGTTAGAGTATCAGCCTATGAGAGTCAAGTGGGGAGTCAAGAACTTTGTGTTTCCAGGTGGCCAGCAACACTTCCCCTTTCTCCTCTTCTCCAAAGGAGTTTTGGGTTAGTCTTACCTGGTTAGGAGAGGGATAGCAATTTTGTCAAGCAGTTCTGATAGCTGTAATAGCAAAAGGACAGAATACGGTGATTACCTATTACCTCAGGTTGCCCTGGAGAGGAGATTCAAGGACTGTCTCTTTTATGAATCATATTTGAGTAGCTCTGGGTATTATTGAGAATGGCCTTGCATTAACTACTCAAGGGACTTATGTATAAGTAACAACCAACCACTTTAATGATAGCATCTTGAACAGGTGACACTCTTACATTTTAAATACGTTTTGCACTTAATCTAAACTGATTATAAAATCACATCATTATGTTTATATATTTAGGCTACAGATTTCAGCTCATTTCAGAAATAATCGGGTTAAAAAGAGAGAACTTTTGATAGAAGTGAAAAAGGACATTTTGGGGTGTGGTTCTCATGCACCTAAAGGCGATTTTGGGGAGATCATCCTACCAAAATGGAAATTTGGAAAAGGAAAGAAGAAAGCTCACATATTAATATTTTGAAACATTAGTATTGTACAGATTTCCAAGGGCAGAGAATATGATTTGTCTGCATACCTCTAGATGGAAAGTTCAATACTCAATAGAAGTAATTAAATAACTGGAATCACAAATAAAGGAAGACGACACTCACGCCATGGAAGGAGATTTTCCTTTCTTTCTTGGCCTTCCTACTTTAACTTCTGCCTTCCCTTTGTACAACGGAAAATCTCTCATCCCGTACCCTTCCATCCTACCCCAGACCTAAATGTGCCTTACCTTTTGAGAAGATCTGTCAGAGGTGTTCTATTCAAGAACAACTCCATCTTGAATAGAAGCTGGGCAACATAATGCTGAGACCTACTGGGTTGCATTCCCAGATGGTTAAGGCATTCTAAGTCACAGGATGAGATAGGAGGTTGGCACAAGATACAGGTCATAAAGACCTTGCTGATAAAACATTGCGGTAAAGAAGCTGGCTAAAACCCCCAAAACCAAGGTGACCATGAGAGTGACCTCTGGCTGTCCTCACTGCTACATTCCCATCAGTGCCATGATAGTTTACAAATGCCATGGCAAGGTCAGGAAGTTATGCTAGATGGTCTAAAAGGGGAGGTATGACTAACCCACCCCTTGTTTAACATATCATCAAGAAATAACCATAAAAATGCGCAACCAGCAGTTCTTGGGGCTGCTCTGTCTATAGAATAGCCATTCTTTTATTTATTTACTTTCCTAATAAACTTGCTGTCACTTTATGGACTCATCTTGAATTCTTTCTTGTGCGAGATCCAGGAACCCTCTCTTGGGGTCTGGATTGGAACCTCTTTCCCATAACAGTTCCAGAACCTGCAAGGTAAGGATGAGGTCGCATAAAAGCTTCGGAAGTTGGAAGTTGGAGAAATTTGGCTTTGAATCTTGTTTTAAAGATAGGGGCTCGCAAATAGAAAACTAAGTCAGAAAGGAGGCAAATGCAAGATCATTCACAGGAGAACTTCCTATGTGAAATCAAAAGACAACAAATGATGTTGGGTAGGAGCAAGAATCCAAGTGACCAGAGGGACAAAATGTGACTTGGGGTGGTTGTGAGAAAAAAAAATCTGTTCAACAAGAATATAGACTCAGAGAGAGAGGGGGATACACTTTCTTCTGTGAAGATGAAATGTGTAAGCAGAGGGTAGAGGCTAATGGGAAAAGACATCTTCCTGGGATGCTTGTCTCTGTACTCTTCAAGGGTTATCTTGCTCTGGGCATTTATAATGGCTTTTCTCCATTTTCTCCAGTGAAGTCCAGTTTTCTAATCAACTCTCATGTCAATCCTATATCTTTTTCATCTGCCTTAAGGATTCCTTGCATGTGCGAGCAGGAAAGTCTTTGAGATTCTTTAACACAGTCAACTAACAAATGGGAAAACTAAGGATCTGGTCAAATAAGTGACTTATTGTCACTAGAAACAGTTGTGGCAAACATTTTTAACAAATCCAAATTTTCTTAGTCTTATTCCAGTTTTCTTTTTAGCGTGCCAGGCTGCTTCCAGTTATTTCATTTCTCCTCCTTCTGAGAACTCTGTGTGTGTGCACATGTGCATTTGTATATGTTGGTCTCTTATGTATATGTTAATAAGGATGGTTATCTAAGGGACAAAATTACTCAGTAAGATATGAAAAGGCTTCTAAGATATATTTTGAAGGTTAATATAACTGCCAAATGTGTTCAAATGGATTTTAATTTACTCTTTAACAATTTATTTGCCTCTGTCTGTCCCCTTGGAGCAATGCCATCAAATAGAAATATAATGAGAGTCACAAATACAAGTTGCGTATGTAATTTTAAATTTTCAAGTAGTTACATTTAAAAAGCAAGATGAGCAAAATTAATTTTAATAATGTTTTTCTTAGCTTAATATACCCAAAATATTATCATTTTAACCTGTATTCTATAAAGAAGTTATTATGCGAGTTTTATATTTTCTCACAATGAGTCTTCAAAGCTGGTGTGTATTTTACATTTTTAGCTCATCTAAATTTAGAATAGCCACATTTAAGGTGTTCAACAGCCATATCTGGTTAGTAGCTACCCTATCAGGCCTTAGAGTATAATTGTTTAGGCACAGCCCTTATTCAGTCACAAAAATCGTAGCCATTGCCCATTTAATAGCTATTATTTTGGTACCAGATTTCAACCATATTCCATCAGTGATTGTCAACAATCAAAATTGTCAACTTCTTAGCACCTTTGCACAGCTTCAAAAATATTTTTGTTCCTATAACTTTAGTTCACATAAGGATTTGTCATGTTTTAATCAGATGCAAGAGCTTTATAGTCAAAACATTACTTAAAATGTCCTTTAAAATTAAATTAGGTTGAGGTATGGTGGAAATGAGCACAAAGTCACATGGTAACCTACTGCATTTTCTGTCATTTTTTGCATGCAAAAGCTATTTTCATCTCTGAAGTGCTAAATAATTGTATGATCTTCTGTTTAAAATACAGAGCAATCTAAAGTAACTACCAGTTGTTCTAGGAAATTCTCTGTCTAGGGCACAACCAAGCCTGACATCTTAAGTGTTTAACAGAAATTCAAATCTTTCAAACTGATTACAGATTCCTTCTCTGCACTTTAGTATTACTGACTTCTACTTAAAGGTTGCATTTTATGACTTAATTAATTGAATAAAGGTATGGATGAAAGTCAGGCATTGGTACCACTGGTCTAGCTAGATTGACTGATATGTGAAATGAAAATTTCCAGTCATTTATGAAATTGTATCTACCAAATGTTGCACTGACTTTACTGCTGCTGAGTTTCTAACACTTGGCTGACACTTGGCTGACCAAATGCAAATACTTAGTGGTTAAATTATAAAGTTAAGGAAAGAATTACTAAATGAAGAAATAGGTGGGTTTATCTGGAGAGAATTTAATTGTATTGATGAAATATGAAGGTGAAATCCATCAGAAAACAATCATTTTCTTGATTAACACAAAATTGGAAATGTTCTTTCAGTGCTTTCTCAACAAAGAAAAAAATGAAAAGGAAGTAGAATACAGACAGTAGAAACATCAACAAAAGACTTTCTTTTTTTTTTTTTTTTTTTGAGATGGAGTCTAGCTTTGTCACCACGCTAGAGTGCAGTAGCACGACCTGGGCTCACTGGAACCTCCGCCTACCGGGTTCAAGTGATTCTCCTGCCTCAGCCTCCTGAGTAGCTGGGATTACAGGCACATACCACCATACCCGTCTAATTTTTGTATTTTTAGTAGAGATGGAGTTTCGCCATGCTGGCCAGGCTGGTCTTGAACTCATGACCTCAGGTGATCCACCCACCTCCGGTCTCCCAAAGTGCTAGGATTACAAGCATGAGCCATTGCACCCGGGAAAGAGCTTCTCTTTTGCGTGTTACTATTTGCTTATTGTGGATTTAACTCCCTCTGGCATGGATCCAACTCTACCATTTTATACATAGACCTAAAAGTTCCTCAGTCACTGTCTGCTTTCTTTCAAAGAAAACGCATCTTCACATGGCTCATCTCTAATCTCTACTTTTCAGAATAATTAAGTTGGCCCGATGTGACTTTATAAGGGAAGTCTTTGGCTATATTAAACCTGAGTTATTTTAGAGGATCTGCCAAGGGCTATCATTCACTCTTTAATTACAAGCGCTAAACAGAAGCCTATAGAGAAGATTAGGCAAATATCTCATACCTCGATGAAATTACCCAGTCAATTTAGATAAAGGAGACCCAAATAAGAAATAATTAAAGGACCCTTAGGAGACGAGTCAAATTCTAATAGTAAAGATTCTTACTCATTTGATATGATTCAACACTTACATTTATGCCAAGAATTTCTGATCCAGAGTGGATGCTGGAGCAGAGGAAAATAAAGAACCCATATCCCGAAGTGTACTGTGACAAATAAACATCTGTTGTACTGGATGCCATTTTAAAATAGTATTGCATTTGCAAAAAGCCACACTCTAAACTGCAAAAGAGCACCTTTTCTTTACTGAGCTAACTGACAAAACATTAAAAAATTTTCTCAATTTAAAAGGATAGTCTATTTTTCCCCACAGAAAAATTTAGAGCACAGACAAGAGATTTCCAATAATACTCACCCAAATGGTGCAAACACTCCCTTAAATCTCAGTGATATTGAAGTGATCAGACTCCTGCTAGGTGGTAACAGGCTAACTACAGTTTGCAGAAGAGGCTTTGAAGTAATAGAGACCTAGGTTTGAACCCACTTTGTCCAAATCTAACCTCCTGGCTTCCAGTAAGTTAATTAATTTTTCCAAGTTTTGGTTTCTAACGCTGCAAATTGGAGGTAATGACACTATTTCAATAGGTTTCTAAGAGGATTACATAAAAAAGCATTTGTATAGTGATTATTATCTTGCCTGTAACATAATCTATGCCCCCAAAACAATTGTTGCTGTCAATATTATAAGTCTCCACATGGATGAAATAATCATGAATGTCACTTCCTGTTTAAAATTTTAAAATAAGCTACTTGCAATAATAATAAAGTTAAGACTCTTTGCCATGTGTGAGGTCCCTTCTCTCAGATCTCAGTTACTAATGTTTTCTGCTTTGCTCAACTCTTTGTCAGCCACATAAATCTTTCAGTTCCTGGCATATGCTAAACTCATTCCCAGCACCTTCTGTTTAGATACTCAATCAGCAGTTGTTGAATAAATGAATCTTTCAAGCTTCTCAAGTGAAGTATTTAATAGACGAGGAAACTAAGGCTGAAAAAGTAGTCCTTATCACTGAACTCTTAAGTAATGAAGCTGAGATTTTAAACCAAACCTGTCTAAAGTCCTACCTTTCCTTACAGTATATATAGAAGCAGGTTTACCATGAAGCCAGTGAAACTTTATGCTTCAGGAAGCACCAAAGCAATGTGGGCATAGTGTCACTTTTTTTTTAAGTAAGATACTTTAACTGAAATTGATCATATAGTTTCATTATGTATTTCCCTTCATGACACTTTCAGCCTCAGTTTTAGAATTTAACGGCAATGCCATGTAAATTTTAGTACTTTCAAATTTTTAAAAACCTCTGTACAATGTTTTTCATATATTATCTGTACAACATGAAAGGCATTGTGACTGTGTTTTTGTGCAGTGGCTAACCTTATATATATTTTGAGGTGTATTGGTGGAAGCTGTTTCCACACTGTGATAATCTGCAGTAATCCAAGTAAAATCAGGACTGACTACAAACCACACAAATACATCCGACTAAACTTAGACTACATATATTCCTCAATATCCCCCAGCCAGATTCCAAAACTTCTTGTAGCCATATGAATACCACTTGACATGAAGTCACGTGATAGAGTAAAAGGAGAAGTTGGAGTGCATTAGTCCACTTGTGATGTTACAACGAAGTACCATAAACTGCTTATAAACAACAGAAATGTATTTCCCACTGTTCTGGAACGTGGGAAGTTCAATGTCAAGGCATTAACAGATTTGGTGATGAGGGTTTTTTTCCTGGTTTATGGTGCTGTCTTGCTGTATCTGACATGGCAGAAAGGGGTAAGCAGTTCTTTGGGGGCTCTTTGGCATTGATAGACACTAATTCCATTCAGAAGGACTCTGAACTCATGACCTAAATACCTTTCAAAGGCCCTACTTCCTAATACCATCACACTGGTGATTAGGTTTTAACATATGAATTTGAAGGGTAACACAAACATATAGACCACAGCAGAGTGAAAATACATAGTTGTCTGAACTGATCTTAGTTAAAATATCTAACTTTTGCAGAAATTAACAAAAACATGTGAACACATTTCTGTAACCCCTTCCCAGTTCCTGCAAAGGGCTCTTGCACCTCTGATCTCTACAATTAGTAATAAAAACAAATTTCATTCAACCATGCTAAAGGAGAGGTAGAATTAGGTATTCATTTTCTCTAGAGAAAATTATATTACAAAGTTCTTTTTCTGAGAAGAATTAAAGAATAAACAGTCAAAATAATTAAGCAGTTAAAAAATTTTTTATTTTTTTCATGTTTATGAAATGTTTGTTTTTTTAAATTTATAACTTGTGATTTATTTTTGTTCTACATAAATATTTACTCTCATCACTAATTTTGCATTTGTAATGCTGATTTGAATAAATTTCAGGCCTCACACTACCTGGATGCATCCTGCTCATCCAATACATGGCACTACTATTCACCTAAAATTCAAGGTTGCTTCTTACATGTACTTGTGGAGTCCTCCAAATATCCTTACATTACCTTTTCTCCAAAGCTTTGGCTTATGTTAGAGCAAAAAATATTTATAGGTGGTGTCTGTGTCTATATGTGTCTCTAAGTTTGCTGTAACCAGGTGAGGCTTGAAAGGAATACCCTTGACATTTATTTGTTATACAATCTGAGTTGGGTATCAAAAATACATCCCATGCCTACATATTATATCATTTTGGGATTTTACTTTGTCAGCTTCAGAAAGTCGGTTCTGAGTATACATTTCTTGGTTACTTTTTTGGCTTTCTCAGAGCCTAGTATGCAAGCAATGAAGAAAACTTTGAATTGAACATATCTGTTCTAAAGTTCTCTGGATTGAGATTGAATGTTCTGTTTCCTGTCTTAAGGGCTTGGTTTGCTTTATATGCAACTTGGTATATCCACCCTGTGGGATTTATGGTCTATTTTTCAGAGTTTGTCCTGAGAGTACTGTAAGTGTGTAGTCTCTAGACATTATAGTGGTTAACATTCTGAGAAGAGGATTCCATTTAAATCATGCGCTATCTACAATTTTTAATACTTCAAATAAATTAATATAATACAATCTTTTCCTATAATATTTCCGAAGGTAGCTTTAACTGACTTAAAATCCTCTACTGGAAAATTAGTTATATTTAATTAACTGGAAAAGCTCAAAGCATGCTGTGTCCTGAAAACTTATTTAAAGATTTACTTGATAAACCTTTATTGGGAAACTGTTCCTTGAAAATTGACCTCATAATAATACTGCCTTGATTTATAGTATATTTTATTTTAACATCTCAGACGTAAGACCATCTTTGAAATATCAGACCATGGTTTACTTAGTTGATGTTCAAAATCAAACAAACTCCATTAGCTCCATTATCAACATGAGAGATACAGGAAAGGATAGATGAATAACCTGTATTTCCTCAACTCTTCCACAAATTGCTATGGCTAGGAATGTGACATTTGTCAAAGCTTTAAGTTGTTATAATTATGAGTACTTTACCAGGAGTTTTTTTTTTTTTTAACTTTAGTATCCTAAGAAAACACCTTAACACATTTTATATTAATTTGTCCCACAGATGGGCCTTAGTAGAAAAAAAAAACTCAAGGTCCTTGTTGAGGAAAGAAGCTATGCTTTTTGTGTGAATACCCTGGGGGTGTGGATGCGTATGGAAAACACACACACACACACACACACACACACACACACACATATGCAAAGTCCAAAGATGTAAGAGGATTCTAGCTTTGGAAATGGTAAGCCATTTTCTTTTTTTCATGATCAAATGTGGCTTATTCTGGGAATACAAAGATAAATCAGTATTTCAGAAAGTTTGAGAAGAATTGATATTAAATCTTCTTTAAAGGTTCTGTAGAATTAAGTGGTGAAGCCATCCAATCTTGGACTTTAATTTGTTGGAATACTTTTTATTACTGATTCAATCTTATTATGTTATAGGTCTCCTTAAGTTTTTTATTTTTTCCTAATTCAATCTTGCCGGATTGGCATGTGTCCAGATATTTAATCATTTCCTCCAGGTTTTCCAATTTGTTAGCGTACAGTTGTTCATAATAGTCTGATGATCTTTTTTATTTTGGTGATATGAATTGTTATGTCTCATTTTTTTCTTTCTGATTTTGTTTCAGTTTTCTCTCTCTTTTTTTTTTCTTCTTGGTGGGTCAAACTAATGGTTTATCAATTTTATTATTCTCTTCAAAAACCAACTTTTTATTTCATTGATCCATTGCATTGTTTTTTCTTTAGTCTCTCTATCATTTAGTTTTACTCTGGTCTTTATTATCATTTCTTTCCTCTCCTAATTTTGTATTTGGTTTGTTCTTGCTTTTCTATATAGTTTCTTGAAGTGCATCGTTAGATTGTTTCCTTGAAATATTTCTACTTTTTTGAGATAGGCATTTATTGTTATAAACTTCCCTCCTTAGCATTACTTTTGCTGTATCTTTTATGTTTTGGTATGTTGTGTTTCCATTTTTATTTGCTTCAATATTTTTTTAAATTTTCTTTTTAATTTCCTCACTGACCCAGTGGTTGTTGTATATTGTTTAATTTCCATGTATTTGTATAATTTCTGAAGTTCCTCTTGTATTTCTCTTTTTTTTTCCATTGAGTTTTGAGAAGAAGCTTGCTATGATTTTGATTTTTTGAAATGTATTGAGACTCGTTTTGTTGCCTAACATATGGTCTATTCTGGAGAATGTTTCATGCGCTGTGTTCTGCAACTGTTAGGTAAAATGTTTTGTAGATGTCTGTTAGGTCCATTTGGTCTAAAATCCAGTTTAAATCCAGTGTTTCTTTGTTCACTTTCTGTCTAGATGATCTTTCTAGTGCTAAGAGTGGGATGTTGAAGTTCCCAAATATTATTGTATTAGAGTCTATTTTTCCCTTTAGATCTAATAATATTTGCTTTATATATCTGGGTGCTTCAGGGTTGCTGCATATTTATTTAGAATTGTTATACCCTTTTGCTGAATTGCTTTCGTTGTCATTATATAATGACCTTCTTTGTCTCTTTTTACCGTTTTTGACTTAAAGTAGCTTTTTTCTGGTATATCCACCCCAACTTACTTTTGGTTTCTGTTAGTGTAGAACAGCTTTTTTTTGTTTTTTCCATTTCTTTACTTTTAGTGTACATGTCTTTACAAGTAAAATGAATTTCTTGTAGGCAACATGCATTTGGCTCAGTTTTTTTTTTTTAATTCAATCTACCAGTCTATATCTTTAATGTAATATGTTTACATTCAAGGGTGTTGCTATATGAAGACTTATTTCTGTTATTTTGTTCATTGTTTTCTGATTGCTTTATATATCCTTTATTTTCTCTTGCTTATTACTGCAGTTTGGTGAACAGGGGTTAGTGGTAAAATTTGAGTTTTTTTCTCTTTCTCATTTGTATGTTTACTTAACAAATGAGTTTTATACTTTTATGTGTTTTCATGATAGTAGGTATCATACTTTTTCTTCCAGATGTAGAACTCCCTTAAGTATTTCTTGTAGGACTGGTGTAGTTGTAATACATTTTCTTAGTTTACGCTTGTCTGGGAGAGACCATTTATCTTTCATTCCTCACAAATAACTTCGCTTGGTATAGTATTCTTGAGTGGCAGGGTTTTTTTCTCTTTCACCATCTGAACATATCATCCCACTGTCTCTTGGCCTGTAAGGCTTCTATTGAGAAATCACTGTCTAATGGAGAGTTCCCTTATAAATGACTAGATACCTTTCCCTTGCTGTTTGTAGAATGTACTCTTCTTCTTTGATGTGACAATTTGGCTATAATGTGCCATAAAAAACATCTTTTGAATTTTATCTATTTGGGGATCTGCAAGCTTCCTGTATCTAGATGTCTATGCTTCTTGTTAGAGCTGGGAAATTTTCAACTATTAATTTGTTAAAAAAGATTTTTATGACTTTGGCCTTCTTTTCATTTTCTTGAATATCCAAAATTTGCCTATTTGCTCACTTTATGGTGTCCCATGTGTCATATAAGCTTTGTTCACTGTTTTTCATTTTTTAAAATGTTTCGTCTGGCTGAACTATTTCAAAAGACCTGTTTTTAAGTTCTGAGATCCTTTCTTCTGCTTAATCTAGTCTACTGTTGAAGATCTTGAATGAATTCTTTATTTCATTCATTGAATTCTTCAGTTTCAAGATTTCTCTCTCTATATATATTTTTAATCTACCTCTCTGATAAATTTCTTGTTCCTATCCTAAATTGTTTTTCTGATTTCTCTGTAATGATTATCTGTGCTTTCTTCTATCTCACTTAGCTTCTTTAATATTACTACTTTGAAATCTTTTTTGGCATTTTATAAATTTCTTTTTATTGGAATCTGTTGCTGGAGAATTATTGTTTTCCTTTAGAGGTGTCAAGTATTCTTTTTAAAAAATATTTCTTGTGTTCTTACATTGATATCTGCATATCTGGTGTAATATTCACTTCTTCTAATTGTTTGGATTGGCTTTTATAGAGGAATACATTACCAGAAGATATATCTGTGGTGTTAGTTGGGTAGAATACTTTAGTTTTGATTCTAGGTATATGCAGTAGTGTAGTCTCCTTATGATTTCTTCAGCTGTAAGTAGCATCAGTGATGCCTGTGATTTCCTCAGTGTCTTAAGCTATGGTTATTAGTGAAAGGTTTGTTGACATTTTTCCGGGGATAAGAAAGTAAGATGGGCCAGTCCTCAGACCCCAGGGTGGCAGCAATGGGATGAGCATGTCTGTCCTTTAGCCCCTAGGTGGCATATGCAGGCACCGGTATTTACAGGTACAACTGGGTCAATTCTTGACCCTACAGGTGGCTTGCTTAGGTGTTGACAGTGGCAGTGGTGGGATGGGCAGGTGGGATGGGCAGTTGGGTGGGTTCTCAGTCCCCTGGGCAGCATGTGTGGTGTGGGCGATGTCAGTAGCAGTGGCAGAACAACCCTTAGGCTCTGACTGAAGTGGTATGCACTGGTGTTAGCAGTAGCTATGACATGCTGGGCAGGCCAGTCCTTAGGCCCCCAGGTGGTGTATTCAGGTTTATTCTGGCTGTGGTGGCAGTAGCAGGTTAGGTAGGCCCATCCTCAGGCCCCCAGGAGGAATGAACAGATGCCAGCAGTGGTGAATGGAACAGGGCAATCCCCAGGCATCTGGGCAGTGTGCTTGGGCACTAGAGTTTGTTGCGGGGGTTACAGGTAGTGCCAGGCTGGGTGGGCTTGTCTTCAGGCCTCTTGGTGACACACTTAGGCTGTAGCTGTGGTGAATAGGACAGAGTGATCCTCAGGCTTCCTGAAGTAGAGCCAGGGTGCTACAACAGCCACAGTGGTGGGCATGGGGAGACTGTTTTCAGGGCATGTGCACAGCAGTCCTGCTGCTGGGGTTCCAGAGTTGCTGTCTGTGTTAGCTGCCCCAGGCAAGTGGCTCTCAGGCTTTAGTGAGTAAACACTTGGACTCTCTTTGTCCCTGGCACACCCTTCCTAGTGCACTGCACCACCATTCCCTGGGGCACAGAAGACCATGTGTGCTAGAGTGCTGGGTCCAATCAGCATTGTGCTGTTGCAACCCTCCATGTGAATGTGGGAGAATGTCAGCAGAGCTTTTGGGATGTGGCAATGCAGGGACTGTTGGGTCCCAGAACAAGATGCAGGCTGCTGAGGAATAAGCTTTCAAAATAATGCTGTGCTATAGCTACTTAGACTTGGGGTATGTGTGGGACTCAGCATAAGCTCCTTCCCTGAGGCAATGTCATCATGTGATCCAGGCATCTTCCTATGCTAGTCTTAGGGCTTGAAAAGGCTGAAAGGCTCTCCTGTAGGTATTATTACAGAGATACACAGTGAGAATGTGGGCCTCGGGATCTCTCACTCACCCTTTCCCCACACTCCAGACTCCCAGCTGATCCCAGATGAGCTGGCTGTCTCACCTACCGCTCCTTCCATGCCTAAGGTGTTTCCTGCTACTTCTCTGTTGAATTTGTGTCCTCTCTTACATTCTCTATTTGAAGTGTGATTATCTCCTTGCTATTTTGGCTCTTTGTGGAAGAGGGGAGTGCTGGATGTCTCTAATCAGCCATCCTGAAGCCCCCTCAGTAACCCTCTTAGACTATAATTTTGCATGCTGAAGCAGTGCTCACTATTAACATTCCCAGTAGACTAATAGACTCTCACATATGGTGAGTTTGCAATAAGAAGTTATAAAATAAACAGATAAGTCAAAGTTTAAAAGTTAAACAGCAGGGCTAATAGAATGTATAACGCACCAGTAGCCTTCTTTCTTTTCAACAAGGATCCATTAATCAATTATTTCCTAGAAATATTTAAATAGTTATAGATCTACCTAAATATAGTGCTATAGAGCTCACATATTTCAATCACATTCAGCAGGCCACCACTGGAGACACTGTCAAATCCTTTGAAAATGCTAGCTAAACTCTGTCAATGAACTTTCTTTGACCTACCAGTCTAACAACTAACAACAGAATAGTTTAAATGATTCATCCTAATTGCAACTCAGCTCCTGACACTACTAGGACATTGGGAGAATGTCTGTGTCTGCCATGTACTTTTGGGAATAAGAGCCTAAAGCCTATGCACCTTAGAAGTGGAAGTGCTCAAACTTACAAAATCTCAGTTACATGAAAGCCATATTCCATCCTAGATTCTCCTTTCTCCCACTTCCCCACTGATAAAACAAAGGTATTCTGTTAGTCTTCTGCTGTAAATGGCAATGATGATGTTCTAATAAAGCACTGGAATTAACCTATGCCAGAAGGCAATGGTTATTGGTTTATTTGTTAGTGGAGGCTTCCCCTAAATTGGATGGCTACAGTGGCTAAATTTTAGGTTTGTGTCACAAAGCAGATTTGGTGCCACACAGCACATCGGGACTCATACTTCTTCTTCCTGTAGTTTCCCTAACAAAATTATCTTTTAATTTTCCAAGTGTTTAATTGCCTAAGTAGAATTAGCAGCATTATGTAAAGCTGTACATAGTTAAGTCGCAAAACTACCAAATTAAAACCATAGAGTGAAAAGCTTCTCTTCCACCCTCTCTCATACATCACTTTCTGTTTTCTTATAATTATTTCCCTTCTCTACAGAAATAGAGACAGACTACAAATATTATTTAGCATCTTGCTAGTCACACTTAATAAATCTTAGGGATATTTTGATATGAAAATATAGTTTTCTCATTCTTTTTGAGAGCTACATAGTATTACACCATAGAACATGTTCCACGATTCATTTAATCAAGACTCTAATGATGAATATTTAATTTTTACTAATATTTTGTTTATGTGGGTTCATATTCTGCATTTATAATTTCAAAATCTGATAATCTCTGAAAATATTTTTAAAGACAATTTTTATGCCAACATTAATTTGACTAAAAAAATCTAATCTGCACAGAGTCACAATTTTTATATGTGTGCTTCCAACAGTCACAGGTGCCCTTTCTGTTTGCTGATATACTATTGCATTTTTAATAATATTTTACTGCATTTGGCATTCTTTTACACTTCATATTTTGACCTTGGTTTTAATTAAACTATGAAAATATTTTTATATCTAAAGCTACTACTCTGGTGACAGTGAAAATCAGACGCAGAAAGTCAGAACATCAGAAAATGCTACTCTGTGATAGTAATATATTGGTCAGCATGTTTGTATTCACTTTGCAGCTGTGATGAGCAAGAACTAAAGAAACAGAAAAACACAACATATGGCATGAAAAATAAAGGTCATGACCATGTGTTGATTATAGTAATAAAACAATCAGAAGTAAAACTAATGTACCAACAAATTTTCTGGCCATTAAATGAGCCAGAAGAGACCACGAAGAGACAATGAAAGGTGAATGTGGATCTTTAGGAGGTTGACTCCAAGGTGTTAAGAAGCACCATGGTGAAACACGTCTAAAAAAACTATGGCAAATAAGGTATTTTGACAAACTTCTTAAAGTAATAATGAAAAATGCAGTTTTGTGCAAATTTACAATGTTGATAAAAAGTTTGGCACTGTGCTACATTCCTAGAAACAACTTAATGATACTGAGGAGAGAACAACAGATAATACCAATAAATAATGTTGACTCTTCTTGGGTATGGAACAAGGATAACTAGAGATATGTTTTCTTATTGCCTCAAAAATAATACTGAAACAGCTATGTGAACCCACTGCAGATTAGTATGACTAGGAAAAATAACTTTAATATGTTATTATTCATGGATGAGTATTTTCCCCTCAATATGACATTTGTAACATGATCATTACACTCATGAAGACCAAGCATAAACACATTTTAAAATGTAAGCATGCAGTAATTAACAGAGGTTGAAGAATCCAAATATTCTAAAAGCATTCAGTTTGTAGGACATATTGTCTCAAATGCTTGGAATTATTTTGATAAATCAATATTAACAAATACTTGGCATAGCCGTCAAACTAGCAATGATGTTTGAAAAACCCTGCTGGTGAAGACTTTAAATGATACTTCTGCATAACTATAAGAATTAATATCAGACCTCATCACTCAAACTAAATTTAATCACCCAAGAGTGTGGAAAAGTTAGATTTTTAAAAAGCACTTGTGTATTATGTAAATAATGCAGAAATTATGTGACTGTTTAAATGTTTAAGTGTGTTAAAAATTGTGTTAAAATGTTAATTGTGTTAAAAATGTTAAAAAGCACTTGTGTATTATGTAAATAATGCAGAAATTGTGTGAATGTTTAAATGTTTCATGGAATATGGGGAGAAAATGTCTGATCAATTAAGTTCTGTCCTTAAATAACATGCATTTTTCTGTGAGCCAAAGACTACAACTTATTATAAACCCATGGTAATGAGACAGAAGACACCAGAAATTTTAAATAAAGCCATCTATAATGAGGTTTAATAATGCTGTGGTATGGTTTTGTCATTTGAGAAACTTGCTCCACATCTACCCTTAGACATGTAACTTCACTCCAATTACAATGATCACACTGATGTGTCCCCTTTTCCAAGGCATGCTAGTATAGCAAAAATTCAGTGTATGTAAATGTACAGGCTTTAAGTTTAGCTTAAAGTTTTATTAAATATTATTCATAGAAAAAGCAGAGAATGTTTATCCTCAATATTGACATTTTCAAAATGTGACCCCTAGAACCAATAGCATCAGCAAAAGGCAAAAAAACTTCATAAACTTCATAAAAACTTCAAAAACTTCATAAAAAAGGCAAATCACAAGGTCCTACCCCACACCTACTGAATCATGCAATCTGAAGTGAAGACCTAGCAATTGTCTTTTCACAAGGCTTGGGGTGACCCTGATGTATGCTCATGTTTGCACACCACTGGCCTATGTTTATGGCATTGTTTCAAAAATCAGTGACTACCATTAAAAAAACCATATGTAGACAGTAATAGTATTTATATTTTTGTTTATTCTACTTAGTGTGAATATACACACATTTCACTGCAGAAGTGGCAGTGATTTAGATATGGGGTTGTGCTCTGAATCCTACTGAGGGTATAATGTAGTAGATGACATACGCATGGTGGTATCCTCCTAAAAATAAACACAAAATCTCTATTTGATAACACATTTATTCCAAAGGTTCAGATAAGGGATTTTGAACCTGTTTAGTAATACAGCAGTGGATAATCCTTTCACATACATACTAGTAAAACTTTGGAATGACTAGAGATAAAATTTCTGTGTCAAAGGGTATATATAACTGTGATTTTAAAAGATAATGCCAACTTCCCTATCTATCTATCTATCTATCTATCTATCTATCTATCTATCTATCTATCTATCTATCATCTATGTATCATCAGTTGTTTTTGCTGGGTGTATACCCAGAAGTAGAATTGCTGAATCATAATGAAGCTCATACACCTTCAGCTTTAGTAAATACTGGTTAAAACGTTTTTGAAAGTCACTGTGCCAGTTCTACCTTGGAGCAGCAGAGCATAAGGATTCTGGCTGCTCCACCTCTTGCCTCTCCATATTGTTTGTCTATTTACTTTTATTCATTTACTGGTTTTTAATGACATTCTATTACAATTTTAATCAACATTCTTTTGATTACCAATGAGATTATCTCTTCACATATTTACTTGCCATGTAGATATGCTGTTTTGTAACATGTCTGTTCCATTGACATGTTATTGGATTTTCTGTATTTTCTGTACTGATTTTTAGACACTTTTCTATATTTAGGATACAGGCCCTTTGTTAATTATTGTGTTAGAATTATTTTGTCTACTTCACGGATTACCATTTAACTCTTAGTTTGAATTTACAGAGAATTTTTAATTTTAATGTATTCTAATTCATTAAATTACATTTATAAGAAGTGCTTTATGTGTTCCCTTTGTAAAAATTTCCCTACCTACCTCAAGCTTATGTTAATCCTGGCCAACATGGTTAAACCTGTCTCACTAAAAATAGTCTCAGATCATTTTCTAAAAGCTTTGCTCTTTTTTCTTTCACATAAATGTCTATTAATTATTTGGAATTAACTTTTGGAAACAGTTTGAAGTAGAGGCCAAGTTTTATATTTTTTAAAAGATGAATATCAACTTCTACTTTTGTCATAAATCACATATCCGTCTAAATTAAGATCTTTTTCTGCACTACCAATGTTGTTCTGTTGTTTATTGATTTATTCTTATGATAGCTATTCTTGACCCTTTACAAATTGCTATAAACTTAGAATTAACTTGTGGTCAGAAACAAATAAAATTGCTGGAACTTTTATTGTAATTGCCTTAAATGTATAGGCAATTTTAGGAGAATTGGCATCTTTTTAGTATGGATCATTACAATTTTTTTTCAAAATACATCTAATTATTAACATCCTCTATAAATTTTTTAAAAATATAATTTTTCCATGAGTGGCCATAAAATATATGCTGCATTAATGACTTGGGATTTCATATTTGTGATGCTATTTGAAATAGTATCTTTTATTGTTAAATTTTCACTTTATTTTTTCTTACATATGTTCTTTGAATTTAGCTTGTATGCAGCAAGCTATTAAACCAAATTATTATTTCTAATATCAATGAATAGTTTATCTTTGAAGTTTCTACAAATATATCATCTGTGAATATGTTTTTTCTTTCCAGTGGTTATAATGAATAGTCCCATAACTACCTAAGAAATTAAATTCATTTTAAAAATCTTTCCTACAAAGGAAAATGTAATCCCAAATGACTTTTATGATGACTGCTAGCATATATTTATTATCTCAGAAATTATAAGAAGACAGACCCTTTCTTAATTTGTTTATGAGGATAGCCTAAACTTGATAACAATACCTGACTTAAAAATTACAGTTAAAAATATCACAGGCCAATCTCATGAATATAAATGCAAAAACCTTGACTGAAATATGAGAAAAGTGACTCAGGAAATAAATAAAAAGAATGGTACAATATTACTAGTCTGGGGTCATTCAATGAATGTAATGGAACTATAACTAATCAATATGTTCAACATTGCATTAGACATTTTAGCCAGTGCAATAAAGAAAAAAGCAAGATATAATATCAATTTGATTATATTATGTTAATATCTTGTAAAGTCTGTGTACACTTTGACATCCAAACAAATGGTAAATATGTATACAGGTGTGTTTCTTATTATATTATATTATAAACAAACACTTATTGAATACCTACAACATACAAAATACACTGTACTAGGTATGGTGGAACATACATGGAGGCAGTAGATTTCACTCCTACCATAAAGGAATAGTCAACCTAGGCACAGAGGTAAACAAGGGATTATTTTACAATACAACACAATACACTATAAGGTGCCCCTTTTCTAGTAACTAACACAAGATGCATATCCTTGATTTAACCTACTCAATTCAGAGGCCCAAACTATTACATAATGACAGTCTGCATAATTTGTATTCTGTAAACTATGGCCACCATCTGACAATAACTTTCCCTATACTGTGTACTATTTTTTCAATTTATTTTATTATATTGGTTGACATGTTGCCAATTAAATCTTCCTGAGTGGCTTAAATACACATTAATCAGTCAAGCCTTGTTGAGAATTACTTCAATCAAATTGCTTCCTTCTAACAAATAATTAGCCCATCTGCTCTAAAAGAAGGTGAACATTGATCTGGGGAAGTTCTTGGGAGGTGGCTTTGTTGAGAGGGCACTCATTTAGTGCAGGTATGTATAAAACACTCTTATAGAAATAGCAAGCCCGATTCGTGTGAAGATGCTTACCAAAGAGTACTGTTCTGTTGCATAAAGTACCACCCAAAACTTCTGGGCATAAAAACACATAATCTGTTTTCCTTATTAACCTGTCATTTGTGCGGAGGTTGGCAGGGGGACTTAATCACTGGTCTCTTTGCATCAGCTTGACTGGAGCTAAACGATGTTTTTTTCCAAAATGAGTTCACTCCTATGGCTGCCAAATTGGTGCTGGTTATCACCTAAGAGTTCGGCTAGGATTGTCAGACATCTTAGTTCTTTTCTGTAAAGGCTTCACAGAGCTGGTTAGTCTGCCATGGAGTGAGCAGCTGAGATCCAAGAGTAAGTATTCAAGGGACAAGGAGTGGATGTTGCCTAAGTTTCTTAAACCTAGGTCTAAAAATCAGTATGGCATTAATAGAACAATCACTTATACATTATTCCATTGGACAATCCCTGCCCAGATTAGAGGGAAGAGAATTACAATCCCACCTATTAATAATGCAAGGAGTGTAAAAAGATTTGGGCTGGCCCACTTTTAATTTATTACAGCCATTAAAACCTTTGACCTCTGAATGAAGGGTTTCCAGGAAGGAAGTAAAATTGATGTAAACGTATAAATTTCCCTGCTTTGAAAATTATCCTATCATCTCTAAAACTAGGAATGAGGAAGAAGACAAACTCATTCTTTGCAATTTCTCCTCCTTTTGCCCATGTGCTTTTTCCTTTCTACACAAAACACCTCTCCCTGCCGTAGGACTGAAATTTTAGGATGGTACTATAAGTATTATACTAGAACTACATTATGAATAAAATTGCCTTTTTATAGAATAACCAAATAAATTACCATAATTTATCACCTTTTTTCTTGCAAGAATACTTACAAACTTTTGTTTTAAAAACTGTCGTAAAAGGAGCTAGATTGCCATCAACAAAAAAATACATTGATTGTCTGCAGACAAATACTTACCATTAATGCCAAGATCGCTTAGCATTATGGGGGCAGAGACACACAGTGACTTTTTTGAGAAGGGCAGAGCTAGAAGAATGGCAGGCAAGAATTATACCTGAATCACAATACCGGGTCAGCACCAACTTCCCAGCCCATAGGTGGTAGTTGGGAAGCAAGGGAATAATAATGGAGCACTAGCAGAGGCAAATGATTCTAAAAGCCCTGTTGGGGAAAGATGTTTTGCAGCACATTCACAAAATTCAAATAAAGACTAAAGAAATAGAAAATGGCAAAATGATTCACATTTTTAAACTGAAAAATAAGCAAAAAGGTCAGCCTTAGTCAACTTAAATGTTCCTAGAGAGTTAATGGGAGCATATTGAACAACCTTTTTTTTTTTTTTTTTTTTTGAAAGGAGACAAGGATTTTTTTCAAAAATGAGATTCTATTTTTTCTAGATTTTAAAAAATATTTTTATGCTGTTCATGTCGGGATCCTAAGTTTAAAGCATTTTTACTGTGTAAAAGTGGGATTTTCGACCCTCAATAAAATATATGTGGTATTTCATGGAGAAATAAAAAAGATTCTAAATTGTCATGTCATTTTGAACAAGGTTCATATATCATGCAGCTCACTGTACTTGGTACTAAACTAGATAGTATGCCAAGACAGCTCCTGAGACCTTTTCTTATGCACCAGCAGAGATCACAGAAAAATAATAAACAATCTGAGGTTGAAAGGGCCTAATTTCTAGTTCCAGCCCAGTTCTGCCAATAGTTTTGTTTTTCATAACCTAGTTTTCTCAGTGGCAAATTGAGGTGGTTGGACTAAGTTCTTTTTAAGATCTTCTTTGCCTTTAATGTATAGTGTTTTATTCTTCGGGGCATTTTTACTCCAGGATGAAAGCAGTTTTCTAAGCATGTAGATAATGCTAATGCATCTAGTTGGGGTTATTTTAGATTAACTTTATTCAACACATAATGTTAAGTGCTGCCCAGGCAAGGACTCTTCCCTCTGCCCAGGCAAGTCTCCTACCAAATACCTGCAGTGCTCCCTTACTTATTCAAGGGCTTCGTTGAAATGCCACCTCTGTCAAGGTCCCTTCCCTGACATATGATTTAAAACATACCCAATACTCTTTATTCCCTAACACTACTGTTTTTTTTCCTTTAAAAATCTTATTTCCACCTGATACTATAATTACTTATTTATTGTCACAATCACTCCCTACACCAGTGGTGTCTAATCTTTTGGCTTCCCTGGGCCACGCTGGACGAAGAAGACTTGTCTTGGACCACACATAAAATACATTAACACTAATAATAGCTGATGAGCTTTAAAAAAACCCACAGAGGGCTGGGTGCAGTGGCTCACACCTGTAATCCCAGCACTTTGGGAGTCTGAGGTGGGCAGATTATGAGGTCAGTGTTTCAAGACCATCCTTGCTAACAAGGTGAAACCCCTTCTCTACTAAAAATACAAAAAATTAGTCAGGCGTGGTGGTGTGCACCTGTAGTCCCTGCTACTCAGGAGGCTGAGGCAGGAGAATCACTTGAACCTGGGAGGTGGAGGTTGTGGTGAGCCGAGATCGCACCCCTGCACTCCCGCCTGGGTGACAGAGCAAGACTCCGTCAAAAAATAATAATAATAATAATAATAAAAACTAAAAAAATTTTAAAAATCACAGAAAAACTAATCATGTTTTAAGAAAGTTTACAAATTTGTGTTGGGTTGCATTCAAAGCAGTCCTGGGCCACATGTGGCCCACTGGCCACAGGCTGGACAAGGCTTCTGTAGACTGTAAGATCCCCAAGAGCAAAAACTGTGTTTCATTCACTTGTGTCTGAGAATGCCTGGCACATTACTAAATAGTTCAACCCATTTCTGACTGATTTCAATGTCCATGTTTTTACCACTATGTCAAACTCTGTGATTTTTCCCTGTAGTCTTAAATTTTTCCCAGGTTGTGAGCTCATTGTCAATGCTTATATAGGACTTTCCATCAAATAGTCGACTTAATTGAAATTAAGAGTGACCTTTCTTCACTATTAAACCAGTATTCAAAATTGAGACTCCAAAAATTCTAAACACTGTTGTTACAGGAAAGGGGTCGAGATCCAGACCCCAAGAGAGGGTTCTTGGATCTTGCACAAGAAAGAATTCACGGTGAGTCTGTAGAGTAAACTGAAAGCAAGTTTATTAAGAAAGTAAGGGAATAAAAGAATGGCTACTCCATTGACAGAGCAACCCTCAGGGCTGCTGGTTGCACATTTTTATGGTTATTTCTTGATGATATGCTAAACAAGGGGTGGATTATGTATGCCTCTCCTTTTTAGACCATATAGGGTAACTTCCTGACATTGCCACGGCATTTGGAAACTGTCCTGGCGTTGGTCAGAGTGTAGCAGTGAGAATGACCAGAGGTCATCGCCGTCTTGGTTTTGGGGGCTTTAGCTGGCTTCTTTACTGCAACCTGTTTTATCAGCGAGGTCTTTATGATCTGTATCTTGTGCTGACCTCCTATCTTATCCTATGACTCAGAATGCCTTAACCATCTGGGAATGCAGCCCAGTAGGTCTCAGCCTCATTTTACCCAGCTTCTATTCAAGATGGAGTTGCTCTAGTTCACATGTCTCTGACACTGTGATTACTTTCTTCCCTTTCCACCCCACTAACTCAGTTGACTCTTTAGAAGAATTGTTTATGAGCTGATGTAACTTTCTAGAATTTGCGCCTTGTCAAATTATCTTTTATCTGTGTATCTTTAGTAACGTGCACAGAATTTTTCATACAGCAGGCAGTCAATAATGTTTTAATTAAAAATTTAAACATGCTCCTAGGATCAAGATTTTCCAATAAACTGTATATTTTGGCTTAAGTTTCAGGTTAAACATAGCGAAGCAAGGACAATAGAAAATTTAATTAGGTAGGGCAAATTACTCAATACAATAATTTTTAATAATCTTTTTGTGATATGTGGAAAGACAATTCATTCTTGTGATTAGCACTGAAAGTATCCTTCTATCACTGGGGACCATGCTTACCATTGAAACGGGAGAGTTCCCGTCCCCCTCGCAGGGTGTGTGACAGGGATATGGCTTGCTCCTTAGGTGCCCCACTGCCTAAACCCCTAGGGGAAGCATGAAGATGGGCAGGTGCTGAGGCCCTGGAGAGAGCTTTTGGGCTCCGACCCCACAGCAGTATCTAGGACTACTCCTGAAGCCCAAGTGGGCGTGTGTTACAGTGTGCTCTTTCAGCTTTGCCATCTGCAGATGGCTGGCGTTAATCAGCTCAATAGATGCTCTGCCTTATTGCAAGGACAGGGGGCCAGTGTGACAGCCTGGGTTCTTGCCCAGTGAACCAGAAGAATCGGAATACAGGTGGGCTTGGAGGATGAGTGCAAGGTTTTATTGAGTGGTGGAGGTGGCTCTCAGAGACATGGATGGGGAACCAGAGATGGGGAATGGAGTGGGAAGGTGTTCTTCCCCTGGAATCTGGCTGTTCTCAGCCAATGTTCAGTTGCTTCTTCCCTCCTTCTCTACCATGCCAGCACACTGCTCTCCACTGCTCTATGCCACTCTGTTCCTCTGCTCCTCTCGATATTCAACCACTTGTGTCTGTGCTTGGTAAGGTCTCGGGTTTTTATGGGCACAGAATGGTAGGTGTGGTAGGTCAGAGTGGTCTTGGAAAATACAACATCTGGGCATGAAAACACGAGTGCCAGTTCTTGCTTAGGTCCATGGGCATAGGCCCGAGGGTGGAGCCCTCGCCAGGTACCCTGCTTTTCTCTACCCAGCACTTCCCTGCTTCCTGTCCATATCACCATGGCTTGTAAAGCCTTCAAGCCATGGGATCTGGCTACTTCTTTCCAGACTCAAGTCTTCTAGCTCCGCTACAAACACACCAGCATGTCTTTCTGTTTCTGAAATGCACCATGGTGTGGTAAATCCAAATGTATCTGCGACAAGTTTCAGTCAATTTAGAAGCTGACTTTGCCCAGGTTAAGCACATGCCCGTGAAACAGTCTCAGTAGGTCCTGACAACATGTGCCCAGGGTGCTCAGGCTACAGCATTCCAGTATGATTTCATACTTTTTTTTTTTAATTATGCTTTAAATTCTAGGGTACATGTGCACAACGTGCAGGTTTGATACATAGGTATACATGTGCCATGTTGGTTTGCTGCACCCATAAAATCATCATTTACATTAGGTATTTCTCCTAATGCTATCCCTCCCCCATCCCCCACCCTGCAACAGGCCACTGTGTGTGATGTTCCTGCCCTGTGTCCAAGTGATCTCATTGTTCAATTCCCGCCTATGAGTGAGAACACGCGGTGTTTGGTTTTCTGTCATTTTAAGGAGACCAAGACGTCAATCAGTCAATCAATACATGTAAGATGTACATTGGTTTGGTCCAGAAAGACAGGACAACTCTTAGCAGGGGCTTCCAAGTCATGGGTGGTTTCAAACATTTTCTGATTGGCAGATGGTTGAAAGAATTTATCTAAAGACCTGGAATCCACAGAACGGAGTGTCTGGGTTAAGATAAAATGTTGTGGAGACCAAAATTTTTATTATTATGCAGATGAACCCCCCAGGTAGCAGGCTTCAGAGAGAATCCATTGTGAATGCTTCTTAGACTTAAAAGAGTGTCAGACTCTTAGATAATTCTCTCCTGGATCAGGAAAAACACCTGAAAAGGAAAGGGGATTCTCTACAGAATATATATGTTACCCATAAGGGCAGCTTTATGGGGTGATTTCAAAATATGGCAAAGAAATATACTTCGGGGTAAAATACTTTGATTTCTTTCAGGGCCTGTTAAATGTTATATTGGTATCTTACTGCTAAAAGGAGGCTGTTTTGTCAATCTTTAGGTCCCTCTTAATGCTGGTCAGTTGTGCCTGAATTTACAAAGAGAGGAAGGTATAATGAGGCAAGTCTGACCAACTGTCCATTCTCATCATGGCCTGAACTAGTGTTTCAGGTTTGCTTTAGAGTGTTCTTAGCTGAGAGGAAAAGTCCATTAAGCCGGGGGCTTAGAATGTAATTTTTTGTTTATAGTATCTGATAGGACAAGAGTACCGCCATCTTTATAACACTCCACCATCTTAAGCCATCTGGCCAAAACGCAAATGTTAGCCCCGCCCACAGCTTCAACAGAGCATAAAAAAACAGCCAGCACTATTCCAACCTCTTCCTAATAAAATCTTGCTTCAAAGCACACTTATCCCCCCGGACCTTTAAAAAAGCCTCAGGCAGGCCTGGCACGGTGGCTCACACCTGTATCCCCAACACTTTGGGAGGCCGAGGCTGGTGGATCACTGGAGGTCAGGAGTTCGAGTCCAGCCTGGCCAACACGGCGAAACCCCGCCTCTACTAAAAAATACAAAAATTAGCCGGGTGTGGTGGCAGGCGCCTGTAATCCCAGCTACTCGGGGGGCTGAGGCAGGAGAATCACTTGAACCTGGGAGGCACAGGTTGCAGTGAATCGAGATTGTGCCACTGCACTCCAGCCTGGGTGACAAGAGGGAGACTCCGTCAAAAACAAACAAACAAAAAGCCTCAGGCTGTAAGAGAAGTTTGATCCTGACCCTGCTGGCCAAAAGCCCTTCTCAGGTTTATTCTCAATAAACCTGTCTTTAATTGTTAAACTGTTAAACTGCCTTCTTGCCTCTTCTTTCCTTAATCTTTCTATCTCAACATTTGTGTCAAAACCTGGGATAGGTGTTGGGGCAGGGAACTCTCTTGCAACCGAGGAAGCAATGGGCAGCGGCAGCTGGTCCCGGGCTAACTCCTGGATCCTGAGGGTTCTCTGGCTTCCTGTTCCCTCCTTCAACCCTTCCTCTCTTTTCCGTAAGCGAATTGCGTGTGTTAACTGACTGACCCGAGAGGACTGCAAGGTTCTGGCCAGGGATACTCCCCGATGGGTTTTCAAAATCCCCGGACCCAGAATTTTGCCACCAACCACCCAATCTGGGTAATTCGCTTTCTTTCTTTCTTTTTTTTTTTGAGACGGAGTCCCGCTCTGTTCCCCAGGCTGGAGTGCAGTGGCGCGATCTAGGCTCACTGCAAGCTCTGCCTCCCAGGTTCACGCCATTCTCCTGCCTCAGCCTCCTGAGTAGCTGGGACTACAGGCGCCCGACACCACGCCCGGCTAATTTTTTGTGTTTTTAGTAGAGACGGGGTTTCACTGTGTTAGCCAGGGTGATCTCGATCTCTTGACCTCATGATCCGCCCGCCTTGGCCTCCCAAAGTGCTGGGATTACAGGCGTGAGCCACCGCGCCCGGCCTTCGCTTTCTATTTCTCCCCCGTGGCTCAAGTCTGAGAGGTCCTTTGTCGGTTCCCTCTAAAGCATCCAACACCGGACATTAATTCGAAAAACTGGTAAAATTTGCCCCCCACATGTCCTTCCTGTGGTACCCAGGAAAGTCAGGTCTGCAGTCCTGGTCCCTGAGGAACCATCAGGGACCTTAGGAGGTGAACGTTCAGGGACACCTGACGTCTCCCTGCAATCTGCCTCTTCTCTGGGAGAAAATCTCTGGTCTCTGCCCTTTATCTGCGGATGCCTAGTCTAACCGCAGACACCTCCGGCCTTTCCTTGCTAGTTCTCAATGGGGTCCAAGCAATCTCAAATTCCTCCCTCCTCTCATCTCGATTATCAAAGCCTAACCCTTACTTGTCTACTGCAATACAGCTTGGCCCCAGTACAAATTAAATAACACTGGCCTTTGGTGTGAGAACGGCGCTTTCAATTTCCAAGTTCTTAGGAACCTAGAAAATTTCCTCAACTGGAACGGCAAAAGGCAAAAAGTCCCCTATCTTCAAGCCTACTTTTACATTCGCTCACACCTCTCTCAGTCCTCAACCTACCCCGGCATGTCCCCCAACCTGCTCCCATACAGCCTGGGTCTCTTTCCCTGTCAGCCCCACCCGCTCAACCTTCCTTCCCTCCTTCCTTCTCCCCGGCTTAACTGTCCAGAGACTGCTCTTGCTATTCTCCCTCTCCGGGAGGGAGCAACCATAAATTATTAAAAAACCCTGTCCTCTTTTTTTCTTTTCCCTCACCTCACAGAGGCTATGCTAAACTATACTAAACTAAACCCAGAATCTAGGGAAGGTCAAACCTTCCTCCATCTCCAGTTCATCTCCCAGTCTGCCCCCAGTATTCAAAGAAAACTCCAAAGCCTAAAAAAGGGCCCCCAAACTCCTCAGTGGAAACCCCTGAGTGCCGCCTTTCATGTCTTCTACAATAAAAAAAAAAAGGAAAACAAAATGTAAAAAGCATCTTCACTTAAAATACCAAATGCTTGCCTCTGCTGTTCAAAACCCCCCTGGACACTCAAAAGGGAATCCTCCCAATACCCCAAGAGTTGGCTTCTGTTGTGGCAATCCTGGACACTGGGCAAAGACGTGCCCAAGCCTTCCCCACCCCCCATCCCCACCCCTGCCCCACTAAGCCATGCCTGACATGTGGTCAATGGGAACACTGGAAAATGGACTGCCCCCAACAGGTACACCCTCCCTGTTCAGGTGCGGCCCAAAAAGTAGCCCCTTAACTGCCACATAATAAAATCTCTTCTCTGCTGGCACTGTCAACAAACAACTGAAAAGGCTGGGATCCTTTGCCCCCACAACCAGTGAGTCCACGGAGCCCAGGATGATCGGGACGGTATCTGGTAAAACTGTTTCTTTCCTTTAAATACTGGGGCAAGCTCATCTGTATTAACTAAATACCAAGGTCCTTTAACCCATTCCTCCATCTCTGTTGTTGGCATGAGGGACATTCAGGAAACTCCTATGCAAACACCACCCTTATACGCCTCCCTGTCTGTCGCCACAAAGGATCAAAAATTTCCCCTCCCTCTAGACGCACATGTGGAAACAGAAAGGGTGGTCCAATTAATTCCCATCCTCCCTGCTCTGGGAATTTCCTCTGCAATAGGCCTTAGTTCTACAAGTCTAGCTTTTTCACTTCTCTTGTCTGCTCAACTAAAGGAGAAACTAACGGAGTTAGCAGCCCAAGTGGAGCATGCACAAAACCAAATAAACTCCCTAGCAGCCCTACTACTCCTAAATCAGAGGCTGTCTAATAATAATCCCAAATTCACTGCCCAAATCACTCCAAATCTTCTAAGCCCTTCATACTACCTGGAAGTTCCATATCCCTTACCTACTTCAATCTTCTGGGAAGGTAAAAAGGACAAATGGCATTCTAAAAAATGCTCTCCCAAAATTGCTAATTGGTTCCACCTTTCATCCCTCAAAAAATCCAATCCTCCCTCATCCAGCCCCCCACCAACACAAAGTAAACCCCTCCCAACCTTTTCCTGTGTTTCCACAGGGCCTACATCCATCTGCCTAACCAGGATTCCCAAAGAAGAAATTTCCACCTAAACCTCTCTATTAAAAGCCTATCAACTCTCTCTGTCTCTCTCCCCACAATTTTTGCCTCTTCCTCACACTCCTTAGCTCAGATATTACCTGGTGCCCTCACATGGAGCCTCTAGTTTCCCCTAATCAAATCCTTAACCTTCTGTGGGACTTGCGGCTTCAAGATGCCTCTCAGGATTTCTCCCCCACCCAAATAACTTTCTTTTCCTTAGGCCTGCTGTTCCTTCTTACCTAAGTTTACTTTTCCTCACTACAATGGAATCCTTGGCCCCCATCAAGTCACTACTCAACATTAACCATCTGGAACGCTCTTTAAATCTCACTCAGTACCTTCTGCGGCAAGCTAATTCCTCTTATGCTTATAATTATTGAATGTGCCTATCACTCTCCTTGTCAGCATATAACGCCCTACCAGCACCTCTCCCTACAGTGTTAACTCAAAATACATTTCTAATTTACAAACTCCAAAAGGAGTCTTCCTTCTTTGAAAGGGCAGACACTCTACTTGGCAACTACACTAACTAATTTGCTAACCAAGCCAACAAACTGTTCCAAGCAGATTATAACCCCCTAACAAGATATGCCTCCTCTGACCCCTCTATGGAAGGACCCATTGCTCTTCATGCCCCCCTCCTTCAACAGGTTCTACTCTGTTTTTCAGCCATGCAGGTACATCCCCCGTAGGTTCCCTCATCCCAGGAGAATGTAACAAAACCATTTCTATCCAGCATCCTACAGACCATCAAACTAACCAGGCTGAATATCAAGTTTCACCAGAGGCCAATGGGTTGTTCCTCCAACGAGTCCGCTTTACAGCTCCCCCACCCCCCTATAGTCACAGCTGCATCTTTTAATTGCTCTATCCCCAACACTCATCTCTATCCGTGGCTATCCATAACCGGTGCCACTTCATATTTCATTAAATGTACAAAGGTCAACTCCTAACACATCTCCACTATCACTGAAGCCTCCCTTGCATCTCCACTGTCTGTTTGGAGACAGAAACCCACCACAAAAAAACAGTCCCTTAATCCACCTTTTGCCCTTCATATCTCTACCTGCATTTCCAAAGCAGGCTTGTTTTTCTTGTGTGGCACCAACACATACCTCTGCCTCCCAACTAATCGGACAGGCACCTGTACTCTGGCCTACCTTTCTCTAGCCATTAGAATACCTCCCCCTAACCAATCCTTGCCAGTGCCTTCCGTTCAACATGTCAAACAGAAAAGGGCAATCTAAATCATTCCCTTATTGGCTGTGCTGGGCATCAGCTTAGGAGCTGGGGAATGAGACATTTCACTCTCATATTTTGAGGCTCTCTCCACAGACCTACAAGAATCCCTGGAAAATACAGCGAAAGGCTTTGTAAAAATTCAAGACCAGCTAGACTCCCCAACTAGAGTAGTCCTCCAAAACCAGAGAAGACTCGGCCTCCTTACAGCAGAGAAGGGAGGTCTCTGCTTCTCTCTAGGGGAAGAATGCTGCTTTTATCTCAACCAGTCAGGCTTGATAAGGGATGCAGCCTCAAAACTGAATGAAAAAAACTCAAAGAATTAGGGAGCAACAAAAAAACCAAATTAGTTCCTGGTTAAATGGTAAATTATTAACCCGAATTCTCCCCTTCATAGGCCTTCTAATAATAATCGGCCTGGAATTATTGTTTTACCATGTTTAGTAACCCTCTCCCAAAAGTTCCTTACCAACAGGATCACAGCCATCTCACAAGCCGCCACCCAGGAACACCTGAAAACGGTGGAGGAACACCTGAAAACTCCTCCAGTCAATCCGGAACCAACAATCTCACAGCCCCCTTTCAGCAGGAAGTACCCATAAAAGCATGCTGGCCCATCTCCTTATCTAACCACAGAGTCCAGATTGATAGGACAAGAGTACCGTCATCTTTGTAACACCCCACCATCTTAAGCCACCTGGCCAAAACTGCAAATGTCAGCCCTGCCCATAGCTTCAACAGAGCATAATGGCGCTAACCATAACAAACCAGCCAGCACTTTCCCAACCCCTTACTAATAAAATTTTGCTTCAAAGCACACTTCTCCACCAGGCCCTTTAAAAAAGCCTCAGGCAGTAAGAGAATTTTGCTCCTGACCCTGCTGGCCAAAAGCCCTTCTCAGATTTACTCTCAATAAACCTGTCTCAACTGTTAAGCCATCTTCTGCCTGTTCTTTCCTTAATCTTTCTATCCAAACAATATCTATCAATTTTATACTTTCTCTCAAGTTGCACTTGAATCTAGAACACTCTTCACCCTCCCTTCCCAACAGTGCTGCTTTTTTCTTGACTGACAATATCTTGACAATATCTCTTCATTTCTCAGACATACAGTGGTTCCAGTCTGGGTGATAACTATATACTAAGTCTAGTAGTTTTGGAACCTTGATTATTATTATGTGTCTTAAAGAGAACTTTCATTTCCCTTCTTTCTGTCTGCTGAGTGGCATATTCATTTATTTACTGTAGCTATTTCTTGGCCTCTCTATGCTGTGAGTTAGTATTTGAAGCTGTGATTTCCCATAACCTAAGGCATCTCAACAATGCCATGTTAATATTATCCTACTTGTTCCAGGTATCTCCCCAAAGCCATGTTGCTGTAACTTTGTCTTCCATTTTACTACTAATTAAGGTGAGATAACTATGCTGCCTTCCTCTAGTCATAGCAGATGATTTCAAAACTAATTGAATTTAATCCTGTCATTTCCGCACATTCAAAGAGAATGGTACATTGACTACTTTCCACTCCATTTTGTTGTTTTGAACCAGTTATTATGATGAAAAGGGCTTTCCCAAATGTTCCCTAATTTGGTTTTCCAGAAGCCAAAACATGCATGCTAACCTGATTTTTTTTTTCTCATTAGCTACCTGCAGATACCTAAAAACAGTAAGAACACGTAATGTTCACAGGATAAATTCTGAAACCCTTTGACTGTCGGTACATACCCTCCTCAACCGTGTGCTCAGGATTCACTTCTATCATTATGTCTCATTTCTTCCAAGTGTGACCACTTTGTTCCACCAGGCTTTATCTCCTGCTCACACACATGCCTTGCCTACATTGTTCTGCCACCTCTACTCCTATTAGAAATGCATAGTTCTCATACAACCCAAGCCACTATTTGAGGTACAACTCACATGCCATCACTGCCCTGAAGCCACCCTGCTCTTACTGAATAATAACCCAATTCACTCACACATAATGTATCTTACTGTCAGATTTTATCTCTGTGTTGACTTCCTTGTAGTTTTAGGCTATTGCCTTCCCTTTATCTATCAGTTTATCTATCAGTATGAAGATATAAACTAAGCACTGATACATGTTGTGTTCTAATTATTTGTAGGGACAATGGCTCTAAAATAAAGCCTGCCACCAAATTGCATAGCTGAGGATTACTGCACAAATTTTGCAGCTGTGTATTAATCCATGGCAAAAATCCATGGAGAACTAATCATCGAGAGCTAGAGATTATGTCTATGTTAAGCTCTCAATCATCACTCTTGCTTATACCTCTTGAAACACAAATGGATCTCTCTGCCTAAAAAAAGGAAGTAAATTATGTATTAGAAAATAAATATATTTTTCTGCAATAAATCCATGTGAGAACCCCATGCATCTCTAAAGTACTTTTTACTTTCTCGATTGATTTCAAACAAGCAAGCAAACATGTCAAGCCTCGTTTCCTAGGGTGCCATTCATCAGAAATTCAGGGGTTTGGAGGTCAGAGATAGAGAGAGAGCCGTTGTCACGGAATTAGTTCTTCTGCCAGCAACCTGAGAATAAGAGTATCATTGAGTTTGACCCTGATGCCCCCTTGGGGATTGAAAAAGGAAATTGTCTATAACATAAAAGACTATTCAGTATATGCCTAATACTGGGAATATGGCATTTCTAAACTCTGGTGACTTATAAAATGTTGAGCAGAATATTGGAACTATCTAGTTAACTAAACAAACTCATAAATCCATAAGATTAAATATTTTCATGGGATATACATGGAGGGTGAGGAGCAAAGAGGCTCAAACAGGGTAGGTACTTGGGGATTAATTAGACTATATTTTTTTTAAGTTTGGCTGCATGCCTGTCAATATGTGGCAAGAATGTAGTTGCTGTTCTTTGGGCTACCTCAAACATCAAATAAAAACTAAAATGTTGAGTTCAAAAACTATATGGTATCAAAAAGCTAGTTTCACAAAGATAATAAACATCCAGAATTCTTTTTAATATTGTAGTAATTTATTTTTATAATACTTTCAGTTTAAACATTATCAATGAAATTGTATCAATTAGGACTCATTTATTGGTGAATCCAGAAAACTAAAACCAAACTCGATTTCAGGACCAAGGGATATGCTAACTTCTGATGTGGTCAATCAGGGGCTTTATCAAAATAACTCAGTTGTCCTCCCTCTCTCCCATCATCTTTCCCCCATTTTTTGTTTTATTATTAATAAGGGTCTCTTCTCTTTGTCACAAGCAGATCTTTGCTGCTCCAGAACTGCATTCTCACTGCTCCACATCCAACTTGTTCATTCTGATTGGCTTAACGTAGGTAATGTACCTATCTTTGAACCAACCACTGTGGTCTGACAGAAGAATGTACAGCTGGTGTGATCCTTAATTCACATCTGCTCTGGAGATGACTTATATTTGACATCATTCTATATACATGGGTTATATGAATGAGACCCAAACCAAAAACTAAGTTCTACTACCAGAAGAACCTTATTTTCTAAGTGGAAAATAAATAAACGCTCTAAGAAAATATCAAATTATTTATTCTAAATAAACATTATTTCTTATAAAAATTTCTCTCCGAAACACTCTACAGCACAACAGTTCCTCCAAATAGATAAATACATATCTAGAGAGAACAATGCCAGCTAGAGTAAGCCTGAACTATGATCCCTAAAAATGTGATACATTTAAAGGTTAATTTAAAAAATTAAAAATAAAAAAAAAACTGGAAGCATCCTTGTCTTTTGCTAAAATCGACATACCTTCATTAATTCATACCAGAGCTTGCTTTAATAATTATGAAAAATCATTGAAGTAAGATAACAATATATAAACAAACATGTTTATATATCATTCATTAGAATAATAGATTGAGCACTGAAAACTATCAAATAAAACCCTTTCCATGTAGGCTTGACTAAGCAGAATGTATTTAAAATTTAATGAAAAAAATAAAAACAGCTTCCAATAATCTAACAAATTTTTCCTGGCTAACTGCAGCCAATGTTGCTGCAGTCCAGGAGCCACATTATCTAGTCTGTACATTGTTGACCTCATTCCCTAAATTATTTCAACCAATATAACATTAATAACTGCAAAGGTGACTTAATATCCTTAAAGGAAGAGAAGTGTTTGGGTATATGAGAAAGAGGATATTAAACAGATAAAGAGCAGAGAAACAGGAAGTAAAGTTGTTTGTAATCGACAGCTGTAATATAACATATCATTAACACATTCTGCACACCCCATACGTCATTAGCTGAAACTTGAAACTAAATTATCCCACAGATTTGCTGAAGACTTGTCATTTCTTAGTGCTAGCTAACCATAATTAAATTATAACTTTGGAAATTATTATAAAGCTTTTAGACATAAAGACAGGCATGGAGGATAATACAAGGAACAATAATGTACCCTCAGCCAGGGAAATAAAGTTTGAGCCCCTGTATATCCCTTCTCATATCCTTCTGACTATGTCTTCCTTACTTATTAAAAACAACAACAACAACAAAAACAACAACAACAACAACAAAAACAGGCTCAGCGCGGTGGCTCACGCCTGTAATCCCAGCACTTTGGGAAGCCGAGGCAGGCGGATCAACTGAGGTTAGGAGTTTGAGACATGCCTGGACAACATGGTGAAACCCCGTCTCTACTAAAAATATGAAAATTAGCCAGCCATAGTGGCAGGCGCCTGCAATCCCAGCTACTCTGGAGGCTGAGACAAGAGAATCACTTGAACCTGGGAGTGGAGGTTGCAGTGAGTCAAAATCGTGCCATTGCACTCCAGCCTGGTTGACGAGAGTGAAACTCCATCTCACACAAACAAACAAAAAACCAAAATAAAAAAAAACCCAAAAACCTTCTAACTCAGCTAGAAAATAATTGAAAAGAAAATAAATTATTCAAATGAATTATTTCAAATATTGGGTTTACTGTGATGATAGTCACTTCAGCCTCTCACATACACATACATAAACATGAAAGAAAGGAAAAATTCAGGGTCATTTTATTTATATTTCCTTAGCATAGTCTCTTCCCCCAATCACGTTTGTCAATTTGTGATAGCTATGACACTTATTAAGCAACTTACTGATTTCTATCTTTTAATCTTTACAACATCTCCATGAGGTAGACATTATTATAACCATTTGAAAGATAAGGAAAATTAAGAATCAGCCAATGTAACTACCACAAGCTGTATAGAAACAAAATGGTGAAGCTGAGATTTGACCTTGGTTCAGTTGCCCCAGACCAAAGCTTTAAACCATATAATTTCTTTTTGTGTGTTTGTTTCTCTATCACAGGTTATTACTTTTAATATTTCACATAAGCTTTTAACGTCACTAAGCATTTCATCTCCACTCTTCTTTCAAGATAACTTGTTTTAGGTATTCATTGTGACATCAGCTATCACTCTTATTGTTATCCTGTTAAAAAACATGTCTTTTATTCTCTAGCTGCCTTCACAACTTAAAAAATATATTTGGTTTTCAGTAATTTAACTATGATGTACTTATATGTGATTTTATATACCTGGACACTGACACCCAGAAAAATAAAAATTTGCCTCATACCAAGCCAGTCTTTCTCAGAGTCAGGATTTAATCTCTGGTCTGGCCTTCTTTCCTGTGTTCCACACAAACTTTGGACATCAGAGAATACTTCCTCTGCCTCCTTCCTTCATCTGTTCTTATTCTGAAAAAAATATTCTTAGCAACAGACAACTTAGGCAATTGTTTTTCTGTCATTACTGACAATCAGCAAAAAGCAGTTTCTGTGTTGAGAGCTTTCTAGGACTGATGACTTAGTTTCCTCAATAACAACAACAAAATGACAGGAAAAACAGAGAGAAAGGAAAAGGGAAGTGTAACTAGCAAGTGAAAAAAAGACAAGCAACATTTCAACCAGTGGGAATATATAGACTTCATTTGAATTTTCAAATATTTTTGAATGCATATTGAATATATTGAATATATCATATACTTATATAATGGCAAATATATGTCATGTATTTATTATACATAAATATATAACTATATATATGATAACCTGGGAAATGTGAAGTGACTAGACATTTAGTTAAAAAAGAAATTAATTGAAGCAGCATGTGAATACTATTGTGATATATATATATATATATATATATATATATATATATATATATATATATATATGGTCTCACTCTGTTGCCCAGGCTGGAGTTGAATGGTGTGATCTCGTCTCACTGCAACCTCCACCTCAGGGGTTCAAGTGATTCTCCTGCCTCAGCCTCCCAAGTAACTGGGATTACAGGCATGCGCCACCACACCCAGCTAATTTTTGTATTTTTAGTAGAGATGGGGTTTCGCCATGTTGGCCAGGCTGGTCTCAAACTCCTGACCTCAAGTGATCCACCCACCTCAGCCTCCCAAAGTGTTGGGATTACAGGCATGAGTCACCACACCTGGCCTACTGTGTTGTACTTATTAAGAACCATTATATTTTACAGTTACACACTCAAATATTTATTTCTAAATTTTTTGATGTCTGGAACTCATTTCTTTTTTTTGTTTGTTTGTTTTTTAAGAGATGGGGGTCTCGCTCTGTCACCGAGGCTGGAGTGCAGTGACACAATCATAGCTCACCGTAGCCTTGAACTCCTGTGCTCAAGTGCTCCTCTTGCCTTAGCTTCCTCAGTAGCTAGGAACACAGGTGCAAACCACCATGCCTGGCTAGCTTTTATTTTTAATTTTTTGTAGAAATGGGGTCTCGCTATGTTGCTCAGGCTCTCACTTTTAAATAATCAAGTGAAAAGGGGTGTGAGTGGAGTTATGGATCAAAAAGAAAAGGATTTGTCATTATTTAGTAACTCTTGAGGCTATAATGGGTTCATGGAGGATCATTATGCAGTCTTGTCTTCTTATATTTATATCTGGAGTTTCTATTAAACAAGATTTTAAGTCTTTCTTAAGCCTATCAAGTTTTCCACTATACACACTAGAGTTCTAACCTAGGCTCAGACTTACTCCATATATCCTTATTTAAATAATATTTTATATGCTGCCATAGGGAAGAACATGGAAATTAATCTGTTCTTTACTGCTCAGTAACATTTGGGAGAAGAAATAAAGTAATACTGAACTAAAATAATGTACATCAACATTTCAGATTCATAAAGATGCATGTTTCTTCCATAATTATATAGTTAACAAAAAATTGCTAACTTTGAAATTACATTTTGAGTGTTTTGTCACTGTTTTGCTTTAATTTTTAGCTTCAGTTAATTTGTAAAATTTTGAGAACCTTAATATATAAAATGTTTAGTAATTTAGTGTCTAGTAATTTGTTTTTCACATCATTAAGATGAAGAATATTTGGGGACACAACTGCTCTAACCGATGGTTTCCAAAAAATATGAGAAATGTAACCATAGCTATTGCTAGTTGAAAAACGGAAGGCTTGGTACATTCTAATAAAAATGACATTAAGGTCAGACATTCTATTCATCTGTGCGTATTCTGAACATTCTTCTTTTATTCTAGTAAGTATGCAAAATGAGGTGTGACTTTGCAAAGCTTTCCTTTTTGCCATCTCCCATCAAAAGAACAAAAGACTATGTGGGGAAGAAATTCCAGCTCACTTTCATGCAGCCAGCTTATTAGTAGACCATGTTGAGCAAAGTTTAAAATTATCTTTTTTAACTTAAAGCTTCTGTTGGACTAGAATAATATGTAAGTTTGAGTGACAGTGGAAAAATATTGTTCTTTTTTTTTCTTTTTTTTTTCCGAGACAGCGTCTTACTCAAGTCGCCGAGGCTGGAGTGCAGTGGTGCGACTTGGCTCACGGCAACCTCTGCCTCCCGGGTTCAAGCAATTCTCCTGCCTCAGCCTCCTGAGTAGCTGGGATTACAGGCATGCGCCACCATGCCTGGCTAATTTTTGTATTTTTAGTAGAGATGGGGTTTCATCACATTGGCCAGGTTGGTCTCAAACTCCTGACCTCAGGTGATCCTCCTGCCTTGGCTTCCCACAGTACTGGGAGTACAGGGCCATAAGCCAGGCCCAAAATATTGTTCTAATATGGTAGAGTAGAATGATTTTTATTCCACTGATATTGTGTCATGGACTGAATTGTGTCCTCCGAAAAAGTTTATATATTGAAGTCCTAACCTCTAGTACTTCAGAATTCAACTACAGAGGAGACAGAGTCATTAAAGAGATAATTAAGTTAAAATGAAGTCACTGGACCCTAATCTAATATGACTGGTGTTTTCACAAGAAAAGAAAATTTGCACACAGACATATACAGAGAGAAGACCATGTGAAGACACAGGGAGAAGATAGTCATCTACCAGTCAAGGAGAGAAGAAACCAATCCTGCTAACACTTTGATCTTGGACTTTCAACCTCCAAAATTGTCAGAAAAAAAAAATCTGCTGTTTAAGCTACCCAGTTGGTGGTATTTCATTATGGAAGCCCTAGCAAACTAATATATGATCTTAAAGAAATAATTGCTGTTTAGTGTTAGAGAAAACATCTAATGTCTGAAAGTAGGTTTCCAAATTACCTCAAATATGTGTGACTATAAGATAAATAAAGTCAATCCTTTTGGTTGAATCCTACTGTAATCCCCCTGGGGCTGCCAATATCATGTGTTGATAGTTGGTGTATTAGGCTATTTTGACTATGGCACCCTTATTTCTCACCAGTTGATTCCCATAAGCATGTGGTAAGCCACTCACCATTGTTAGATGCTGTGGATGTACATAACCGCAGCTCCCACTCTTGCTGTTAGCCAGGTAAAGCCATAAAGGAGATGAACTGAGTGGAGAAAACCTAAAACCCCTGTTTCATTTTCACTGTTTGTGAATTACCAAGAAGTGAGGTTGTAAATAGTCATAGTGTAATAGTAATTACCACTGTTTGTGAATTACCAGGAAGTGAGGTTGTAAAGTCTAACAGTGTAAATAGGGACAGACTATAATAGAAATGGTGAGCCACTGAAATCAGAAAACTTTTTTTCTTTTGAATTGACAATAAATAACAGGTTTACTTACCAATGTTTTTAACCATGTTTGCGCAGTGGACACATATAAGCAGATATACTACAATATAGTATACTGTTTAAGGTCCCAAGCTCTGAAGCCAGAGTGCCTGGGATTGTGTCTTGACTCTGTGATTTAACAACGTGGAAGTTACTAGAAACTCTCTTATCATATTTTCTTCCCCTTGAGATGAGACTCACATGTACCTGATAAAGGTTTCAGGGAAGGTTAATTTGGTCTATGCATATAAAGTGCTTAGAGCAATATCAGACAAACAGTGAGAAAATTAATAAATGCTTGTTCTTATTATCATCAAATGTGAAGAAACATTAGGGGTCCCAACACACGACCTGATCAAACTACTGAATGTATATTACTAAGGAGCTTCTCATACGGAATGTATATTACCAAGGAGTTTCTCAAAATAATAATAAAAACTAATTTATTAAGAAGAAATACATCAAGTCTTTTAGCTTTCTTACATTTCAGGTAACTCAGTTTTACTAAACATAATTGATTCTACTCATTAAATCCTCACTCATTATATTCTCCACATCCACGCTTACTATTGTCCCAATATATTTCTATTCTAAAGACATATTTCTGCTCACTATAGCATTAATATTATTAACAACAATAGTTGTCATTTATGACATAATTAAAATATGAAAGATGCTAAAATAAGCTCTAAACATTAATTGGTGTCCTGTGAGATAATTACAAATAATACCCCATTTTACAGATTTGGAAACTGAGTCCAGAGTTCAAATAACTTGTTTGAACTCAACTTGTAAGTAGTAGAGTTAGTGTTTGAACCAGGTATCCAGATGCCAGAGCCAGTTCACATTCACTACTTTATCATATGAAATCTACAATACATTTTCCCCCCACTAAACATTCTTTGGAATTTTCTCTGCCCCGGCAAGTTTATAAGATGCAGTAACTCCCACACAACACCATTTGCAAGAAGACTTAAATGTTGGTATTAAATATAAGTTCTGGTGTGCTAATTATGTAATTTTATGGCACAGAGCAGTTTACAATGATTGCACAACTGAAACACATTCTAATAAATACATTTCACAGCCATTCATATGCACTTATAAATTAAAATATCAATATCTTATTTAATTAGGGGTTATCAGTTAATTTTATTCCTAGGGAATATTTCAGGTGATATCTCATTTTTAAAAAGTATTTGATATTTCTTTGTAAAATGCTACCTTCCCCACAGGCCTCCTTTGTGCTTCTATTTCTTGGCCTCTAAGAAATTTTTGCTTTCTTTCTTGGAGTTGCACCAAGGACTTTAAAAAATAAAAATAAAAAACACATTTCTCTCTCTCTGCTTGCAGGTTTAACATTCTGATGACTTTTATAGCTTTTATTTAAGCTGTGAAATTATGAATTCTCATTATGCATGCTCCTGGCTCTTCTGTATTATTTAGGTGGGAATAGTGGCAGACCCCATGGGTGGAATCTATTTTAATTCTATCTTCTGTAATTTGTCTGCTACACCTCTGAAAGTAGGTCTAGGGAAAAAAATGCAAGCAGGTGTCTCCCTTCAATCCCCTCTGGCACACTAACTTTGTGGATGTTGACTTCACTATTCTGTTTTCTGTGACCAATATTCTTTTTAATTCAGAGCCTCCACCCCTTTTCCCTTGCAATTCATCTTCTAAACTGCCTCCAAATGCTTTTTGATTACTAACTCTAAACTTGAGTTACTTAGCTGAATTTTGATAGTCTGGGTGGAGGAGATAGTTAGTGAAAAGGGTCAGGCTTATATCCTTTAAAATTGTTTTATATATAGTATAAATATATATCATACATACATTATTATATAAGAATAATGAATTATACATATAATATAATAAATAATTATCTGTTACATAGTCCCCTTAAGGTGGACTATTTTGCCTGTGTATTTGCCTTGAAAGCTGATGAATAATCTCTCTACAGAGGCAAATCCTGGGGATAAACTAGCGAATGGGACTCATCAAGATGTTTGTAATGGATAGTACGGTCACACAGTTAGGCCAGACACCTCCTTCTTTATCCCTGACATTTATTTCCCTAGTGGCTATTGATCACTCAAAGATGAGTCGCTCCCTGAAATGGCTTTTATCCGATAAAAGCTCTCTCACTCAATATAATGCCATTTTCCCAAGGGCAGCCCAGATCCAACAACTGGTTAAGGGAGCCGGGGCAATGTTTGGGTCATTTATTTCAACTCACTACAACTCTAAAGGAGTATGGTAGCCCCACAGGCCCATGCATGATTGGCTGAGGCCTCTATGGGAACTGGACTGCAGTTCAAATTCTCCCTTCACCCAGTTCTTCTTTCCTTAACTACTTATAGGTACCATTTCTCAGTTACACACCAATAAGCCTCCTGCCTGCAAATTGTCAGTTCAGTCTGTTTCCAAAAAACTGGCCTAAGATGATGTTGAAATGAATCCTTGCAGACTACATTTAATTCTGTAAATCCTCCCTCGTATTTCTTTTTTCAACTAAGTTATTTATACAATTGCCTTCTGTATGAGTCAATTCTCACATTGTTATAAGAAAATGCCCGAGACAGGGTAATTTATAAAGAAAAGAGGTTTAATTGACTCACAGTTCCGCATGGCTGGGGAGGCCTCAGGAAACTTACAATCACTGTGGAAGACACCTTTTCACAGGGCGGCAGGAGAGAGAATGAGTGCCAGCAGGGGAAATGCCAGACACTTATATAAACATCGGATCTCGAGAACTCATTGACGAGAACATCATAGGGGAAACTGCCCCATAATTCAATTACCTCCCACCACATTCTTCCCATGACATGTGAGGATTATGGGGATTAAAATTCAAGATGATAATTAGGTGGGAACACAGCCAAACCATATCACCTTCCTCTTCTAATCCCACTCCCCTTACTTTCTCTAAGTTAAATCAGCCACCATGTAGTAGGGAGAATTCCGTTTATTGGAGTTAACTTGTTTAATGATGATTGATGCTAGTATAATCTAATAAAATTTAAAAAATGGACAAGTTAATCTCTTCTCTGTCTCTTTTTCTCTCTCTCTTTATCTGAAACTTACACACATTTTCTCTTCCTCATGAGCCATGTCACTGAGAAAAGTAAAGGTATTATTAGTTGCAATTTATTGGCAGTGAATATCTCTTAATTGAGGATATACTTCTTCTTGTCTCCCTCTAGACTCCACACTGTAAGAGGCTAATGATTTCATACAATATCCTAATTCCAAGTAAATATTAGATAATTGAATAATTTGCTATGGATAAATGAATGATCTAAAACTTTTAAATTTCATTTAACAAAGCTAGAAACAGTAATTATATTCCCACCTTAAAAGTCTATATAACAGATCATTATATTTTATGTATAATTTATTATACATATATAATTATGTATATGTAAAATATATACTATATATATATATAAATTATTATTTTAAAGGATATAAACCTAACTCCTTCCAAGTAGCCTAGGGCCTATCTTTGCTATTTCATGCTAAGACAGTGATTGATACTTGATGGCCCCAGTTCACTCATGCTAATTTGTCTTTTCAGGAGCTAGCCCTGATCAATTTTCCCAAATATTTTACACATTTACTCTCTTGTGACAAACACAGCCGTAATTAACATTCTGCTTTTAATTGCATAAAAAATAATCACCTTCTGCTTTTGCTGAAGTATTAACATCCAGCATTCCTTCTAGCCTACTTCAGGAGCTTATCATGGTATTCACATGTGGTCCCCTTCCTAGGACCTTATTAGCAAAGGTAATTATATTCTTACATGCTTACCTTGCAGATTCCCTTGCAAGCAAGTGAGTAAAGCTACGAGGTGTGTGACCCCTCTATTCACTGAAGGGCATTGTGCATTACAGAGAGCACAGCTCCAATAGAAACCCACGTGGGAAGGCAACAGGAAGAGAATCCCATCAGCTTCCTGAACCTTACAGATCTTTACAGTAGGGTGGTGGTGGTCACAGAGAAACCATTTTAACATGCTAGAACATCTTCTATTGTCCCAACATTATTTTTAAACTTTGCCTTTCTCTGTTTCACTTAAAATGATTTGCTTATTTATTTAACAGTCTTCCTTCTCACACAGGATTTTTTTCTTTTTCTTTTTTTTGGGCAGATATTTTAAATAAACTAAAAACTTCCTGCTTGCTCACTTCCACTTACAGGTGGCTCTGTGGCAGGTCATCCATCTTTTCTCCCTTCTGATCTGAAAGCAACCAGTAACAAACAATTCTTGCTAAAGTGGGTCACTTTAAACAATTTAATATATATTTATTGAAATAAGCCCTAATACCATTTTACAGTTTACTTTCCTGCATTAATAAGGTCATTTAGGAAAACTACTTTTTCGGTCACACTAGCACACATTAGGGCATGGTTGATCACAATCATAATAACTGACTTGTGAGAGGAAACCCAAGAATTTTTGATTAGGACAACATCTGTCAGTGAATTCTATTAGACTCACTGATTTTCTAAGAGATAATTTCTAACAACCATGTGTGAAATACACACACACATACACACACACAAACACACACACATGCTACTGCATTTATATACAACACATATTTAACTTCCTTGACAGCTATAGCTGATGGAGTTGGCAGTCGACTAAAATCCTGAAGTCTTTTTCACACAAATTGCTGTCAAGATCTTTTCTAATATTGATTGTTATGCAGCACATTAGCTATTTCTCTCAGCTTTTTGTTATCTAAAAATTTTATAAGCATATATTTTTGTCTTTATCCAAGTCAGTGATACAAATCTTAGAGAGGACAAGGCTTAAGACAGAATCCTGTGTGATGACTCTTGGGAAATCATCATTCAATCATTTGAATCTACTCTCATCCAACTCTGTCAATACTTGATTTTTCTGACATCTGGCCTACATTTGTCCAACTGGTAAACAAATAAATCATGAAAGATTTTAACACACTGCTAAAATCCAAATAAGCTTTATCTGTGACTTTCCTATGCTTGGCCAATCTAATTAGATATCACCTGATTAAAACAGCCAATGTAGTTAGGTTGTCTTCCTATATTGATTCTTCATCTATGCTAATTCCTAGTCATGATATCTTATCTTTTCAGTCTTGCAACCCAACACTACTTGTTTAGTTTTACAAATAATTCTTGAGCACCTACTATGTATTATGTGTTACATTTATTATGTGCTATGTATTATGTTCCCCAGTTATAAGAGATCTACTCTGTAACTCCAGCTCTCAATAAGCTTACCATATGCTCTAAAGTACATTATAGAGTATTTCTAGAATCTGATATCAAGCTTACATATTTGTAGTTCCTGACGTTGTTTCTTTGAAAAATTGGGATCATGTTTGATGATCTGTGATGATCACAGCTATTCTGGCACTTATTTTCTATAATAGCTCAAAAATTATTAAGGGTGATATGGACGATATACTAGTTACTTCAGTACCTTAGCATGTATTTCAACTGGAACTGAAGCCTTAAGTTCATCTATAATGATTCTTACTATTTATTCTGTGTCAAAGGTTCCCAAGACAATTCTCAGGCTTGAAGATTTGCTAGAAGGACTCAGATACTCAGAAAAACTGCTATATTCATAGTTATAGATTATTATATAACTTTGCAGATGCAGATTGAAATCAGCAAAGGAATAAGTCACGTGGTCTAAAGTTCAGGAGGAAGCAGGCACACGCTTTCATGCATTCTCTCCCAATGGAGTCACACAGAGACACAGTTAATTCTTCCAGCAATGATATGTGATAACACATTAAAAATGGTGCCAGCCAAGGATGCTCACCCAAGTCTTTGTGTCCAGGGTGTTTACTGGGGGAAAATCATGTAGACGTACACTGCCTGTGTGACAGACTTTGGCTACTGAGATTCTACCACTCCCAAAGCATAAACAAGCATTAACCATAAATTGCATTGTTAGGGTAAACTTATCTGATCAAACAAATACAGCATGGCCCAAGGCCTCAAGAATATAAACATACTCTTATCAGGCCAAATAGTCTAAGCTATCAGAGGTTATCTTCTAGAAGCCTGCTTCAGACCCGTCCTGAAGACAGATCTTTATTTGGAAAATCTGAGGATTTGAGCAATCCAGGCCTGCTGAATTAGCTTTCCCTGCACAGTTCCCCCTATGTTTTAAATTCTATATTAATCATGTGTTTTTCTAGTGTTTTATACCTTGAAATATATTCTCTTTTCTTGATTATATGAAAGCAAAATCAACATAGAGTACTATATTCTCCAAGATTCTTTAAGATTATACATTTCCACTGTTTCCTCTTGAAATACATTAAAGAGATTCCTTTTAGTTTAAAAATCAGATTTTGTTGTTATAATGAAATGTAATCCTTAGTGTGGGCTATAAGTAATTGTTCCTTGATTTTTTCTTGTAATGTGTATCAGTCTTTTTACTGTTTTCACACATATCTTCTTTTTCCTGTGCGTTTCCTTCCTCCATTAGTGACCATATGTCTGGAGAGTCATAAACTGGAGATTTTAGATAAATTGTAAAAAGTAAAGAAAGGCTTTCCACCACTGGCAAAGAAAAAAATTATAATAGCTGAGAGCTAGTTGGCTCAAATCCCTGAAAATTGCCTTACCAAAAAAATCAGAATGCTAAATTTTTAAATAAATTATATTGAATTAACTATCACTCTATTAGTTACCTACAGCTGCACAGTAAATTACTTAAAAACATAGCATTTTAAAACAGTAAACACTTATTATCTTACTTTTCCTGAGTTTCAGAAATGTAGGCACAGTGTCCTCTGGCACAGGATCTTTCACAAAGCAGCAAACAAGGTGTCACTGAAACCTGTAGTCATTTCAAGCAATGATATGTGACAACACATTAAAAATGGTGTCAGCCAAGGATGCTCACCTAAGCCTTTGTGTCCAGAGTGTTTATTGGGGGACAATCATGTAGACATACACTGCCTGTGTGACAGACTTCAGCTACTCAGATTCTTTTCTACTAGAGAAGAAAATAAAGACTATATATGACAGACTCATTGCTAACATTTTACTCAATGGTGAAAAGTTTGAAGCTTTCATCTTAGATAGGCAAGGACACCCACTCTCAACAGGAAAAAGAAGGTGTTTGTGAAAACTGTAAAAAGACCGATACATATTACAATAAATAATCAAGAAAAAATTACTTATAGCCCATGCTAAAGATTGTGTTTTATTATAACAACAAAATCTAAATTTTAAACTAAAAGGAAATTCTTTGATGTATTTCAAGAGGAAATAGTGGGAAAGAATTCACTTCAAACTCATTTAAGTCATTAGTTGTATTCAGTTTATTGTACGCTGTTGACTGGAGGTTTCCCTCAGTTCTTTGCCACCTGGGTTTCTCCATAGGGCTTCTTGCAATATGTCAATTGTCAAGACACAGTCTTGTTGATAAAAACCTTTAAGAAATTAGTTATAGAAGAAATGTTCATCAACAAAATAAAGACTGTATATGACAGACTCATTGCTAACATCATACTCAATGGTGAAAAGTTTAAAGCTTTCATCTTAGATAGGCAAGGACACCCCCTCTCAACACTTCTGTTCAACATAGAACTGGAAGTCCTAGCTAGAGCATTCAGGCAGGGCAAAAAAATAAAAGGCATCCAATTTGGAAAGAAAAATGTTAAATTGTCCCCATTTGCAGATGACATAATTTTATATATGGAAACATCCTAAAAACTCCACCAAAAAAAACCCTATTAGAACTAATAAAGAAATTCATTCAGTAAAGTTGCAGGATACAAGATTAACATACAAAATTTAGTAACTTTTTATTCATTCACAATGAACTATCAGAAAAAGAGATTAAGAAAACAATGTTATTTACAGTAGCTACTGCTATGGTAGGAGATTTTTCCCAACCAAACTTCATTTTCAAATGTTATCCCTAATGTGGTGGCGTTTGGAGGTAGTGCCTAGGAGATGCTTGGGTTATGGGGGTGAATCCCTCAAGAATGGCTTGGTGTCATTCTCATGGTAGTGAGTGAGAGAGTGAATTTGTTCTTGAGGGAATAGATTAGTTCCCATGAGAGTGGATTGTTATAAGGCCAGGGTACCCCCTTGGAGTTTTCCTCTTTACATGTGTCCACTTCCCCATTGACCTTCTCTATCATGTTATAACACAGCATGAAAAGGCTTCGTCAAAAGCTAAGCAGACGCTGGTGTCATGCTTCTTGTACTTCTCAGCCTGCAGAACCATGAGCTAAATAAACGTATTTTCTTTGTAAATGACCCAGCCTCAGGTATTCTTTTATAGCAACACTAAAAGATCTATGACAGCCACACATGCACACACACAGACACATACACAAATATTTAGGAATAAATTTAACAAAGGAGGTGAAAGATCAATACACTGAGAACTGTAACACATTGATGAAAGAAAATGAAGAAGACACAAACAAATGGAAAGGTATCCCATGTTCATGGATTGGAAGAATTTATATTGCTAAAATGTCCATAATACCCAAAGTGATTTATAGAGTCAATGAAATTTCTACCAAAATTTCAGTATTTTTCACAGAAGTATAAAATCCTAAAATTTGTATAAAACCAAAAAAGACCCCAAATAGCAAAAGCAATCTCAAGCTAAAAGAACAAAGTCAGACATATCACACTACCTGATTTCAAAACATACTACAAAGGTATAATAACCAAAATATCATAGTACTGACATAAACACAGATACAAAGCTAAATGGAGAAGAATAGAGAGCCCAGCAATAAACTCAATATAATTATGGTCAATTGATTTTTGACAAAGATGCCAAGAAGACACAATGGGAAAAGGACAGTCTCTTCAACAAGTGATTCTGGGACAACCAGATATCCACATGCAGAAGAATGTAATTAGACCCTTCCTCACACCATATACAAAAATCAGTGCAAAATTAATTAGACATAAATGTAAGACCTGAAACTGTAGAACTGCTAGAATAAAACATAAGAAAAAACATCCATGACACTGACCTAGGCAATAATTATTTTGGATATAGCCCCAAAAGCACAGGCAACAAAAGCAAAACTAGACAAATAAGATTACATCAAACTAAAAAGTTTCTGCACATCAAAGGAAACAATTCTAATATTTTTGGAATCCACAAAGAGACAACCCACAGAATAAAAGAATATATTTGTACACTATACATCTGATAAGTCATTAATAATATCTAAAATATATAAGAAACACAAATAGCAATAAAACAAGTAACCTGATTTAAAAAATGGGCAAACGTCCTGAATAGACATTTCTCAAAAGGAAACATACAAACTTCCAACAGGTATATGAAAAAATGCTTAATGTCACTAATCGTTAGGGAAATATAAATTAAAATTACAATGAGATATCATGTTATACCTGTTAAAATGGCTAATATCAAATTGATGAAAGAAAAGTTTGGTAAATTATCTTAGGTAAATTAGTGCAGCCAGTTTGAAAAACAGTATAGAGGTTCCACAAAAGGTTAAAAATAGAACTACAATATGATTCGGTAATCCCACTAATAGGCATATAACCAAAGAAAGTGAAATCAGATGTTGAGGAAATGTCTGCACTGCCATGTTTACTATGGCATTATTTACAATTGCCAAGTTATGGAATCAACCTAAGTTTCTATCAAAAGATAAATGAATAAAGAAAATGTGTTATGTACACCCAATGGAATACTATTCAGCCTTAAAAAATAAGTAAATCCTGTTATTTGAGTCAGCATGAAAGAACCTAGAAGACATTATCTTAAGTGAAATAAGCCAGGCACAGAAAGGCATATACTACATGATCTCATTTACATGTGGATCTTATAGAATCAGAGAGTAAAATGGTGGTTACCAGAGTATAGGAAGTATAGCAACTGGGGAGATGTTGGTCAAAGGACACAAAATTTCAGTTAGACAGGATAAATAAGTTAAAGAGACCTATTGTTCATCATGGTGACTATAGTGAATAAAAATGTATACTTGAAAAATGGTAAGATAGTAGCATTTGTTTTCTCACCAGAAAAAGTGATAAATATGTGAGGCAGTACATATGATAAATAGTTTGATTTAGCCACTCCATAATGTATACATATTTCAAAGCATCATGCTATATACCATGAATATATATAATTTTTACTTGTCAATTAAAAAAATTAGAAGAAGGATCAACAAAGCGAGTCTTTTTGGAATATTATCTTTGAAGTGGCATTCCACCACTTTGGTCATAGACAATTTATTGGCAGCAAATCATTAAGTGTATGTAACTGTGAATGGGAGAATATTACACAAGACCACAAACACAGGAAGATGTGGACCACTAGTAGCCATCTTATAAAATGCTAAGCCTACCACAGTCATCTATAACATACTACATAAAATACTACCTGTCTTATTTGAGTAAATATCCATAATTCTCAACTGATATTTTTCCCAAAATACTTGGCAGTGTCTAGAAAATTCTTTAGATTGTTACAACTGCAGGAGGAGGGGTACTATTGGCATCTAGTTGGTAGAAGCCTGGGATGCTGCTAAACATCCTACATTGCACAAAATAGCCTCTTACAACAAAGAATTATCCATTTCAAAATGTCAATATTGGTGAGGTTGAAAAACTTTGTTAAATATTAGTAAATATTAAAGTTAATAAGTATTAATTCCGTAAAGACTGTATTTCATTTTGCATAACATTATGTTCAAGCCTTAGAACATAATAAGAAAATTAGCATATATAATTACTGATTTGGTTTATTTAATCTGACATACAAGTGTTAAACAAAATGATTATTATAGATCCATCTAGGTAGGAGCCAAGTCATTTCTACTTTATTGAAGACAAAACTACCTACCAGTCTCTGCCTCACAAATATATTAAGTAATGTGCCTAAGGTCAAATAATTAGTGATTAGGTAGTCACTTTAATGAACACCTTCTAAAACATTAACAAATGTTTCTGTAGCAAAACCTGGCTTAAAATTAGAATTGCATAATCCATGCTTGTATCTTTTAAGTCACCTGTATTTTCTCTTTTAATATAGATACTTGAACCACATCCTCAGGCCAATTAAATTAGTCACTATGGAGGGGAGGCGTAACTTTGGTATAGTTGTAAGGGTCAAGTTTAGTGGTTGTAAAAACCACTAAAGCAGAGGTCCTGCAGAAATTATTTAATCAATCCAGGTGACCTGCTAATACTGGATGTGAGGCTGTTGAAATAAAGCTCTTTTTGAGCTGGTACAGATTAACACTATTACAGAAATGTACATATTCTAAAAGTCAATTGCTAAATCTGAGTGATTTATTCCATGGAGTCATCAAACTACAGCCAGTGGGCGAAATCTTTCTCTCTGCTTTTGTAAATAAAGTTTTATTAGAACACCACCATAGTCATTTATTTCTGTATTGTCCATGGCTGCTTTTGAGCTGAAATAGCAGACTTAATCCTTTGCAACAGAGACCACACAGCCCACAAAGCCTTATTTATTGAATATCATTCCCATTATAGGAGTTTGCCAAGATCTTATGGATTCCAATATCACGAATTTATTTTTATTGAACTTAGTCTTAGTATTTATCATTAGTTGTTTATAGTCCCTTTTATAATGGTGCATTTCAACATGAAGAATTGAAGAGGAGACAAAGATACAATAAATTATAAAATAAACAAGGTTTTCTTTTCTGCATTTATGTTACTTTTACATATTATAAAGGTAATAATAGGTTATATATTGGCTAAAGATGATCTCTCCTGAACAATTTTTCATTATTTTAAGGAAAATTGGTAATTCTAGACTGATTTTTTTTTCCATTAAGTGTGTAGAGTCAGTGATTACTCTAAAGATAGAAACATCAATCATTTATTATAACTTACCTAAGGTTACATAGCAATATGAATGTATTCAAGCTGATTCAATTACAGGGAGTCTATTTTTAGAGTCTGAGCTCTAATTCATAAGACAAAATATGCTTCTGGTTACAGAATAGTCTGTTATTTTTAACACTCCATATTCCAAAATTCCTCAAAATCTTAAAGTAGACAATTCATATTCTTGAAGACGGCTAAATACCTCCAAATATAATTAAACTTTTAAAAATATATTTTTTAAAAATCACATGATATGTCTTGCTCTCAAAAATAGACAAATACAGGAGACTTAATGAAGGCACTTTAGGACACAAGTACAGTAAGTTCTGCTATCACACTTGTTTTGAAAACACAAGTTTGTTCCAATGCAATTTATTTATTGGGGAATAATTTGAGAATAATGCCAGTATTACATTTGTTCACATGAAATTTCACCTGCAAGAAATTCAAAGTTCATACAGAAAACTGTATCCAACTGAATTGAACCACATAGGAATATGCAAAATACACACATGCACAACATCTCAACTATCTCTTCTGTCAACTCATTCTGTTCACTGAACATGTTATCCTAAAAGACTGTGATTTGGTAATATTTTGCCTTTGTGACATTCATTCAAAATCCCAAAAATACAAGTGTCCTTGATTGAAAACACCAAGCAGTGCATCAGAAAAGGAAGCTTTAAATATTGAGAAGAAACTTGAAATAATAAAATGTTTTGAAAGAAATGGGAGAGCATGAAACAGTTCTCAAGCAATAGACTTAAAGAAATCCACACTGTGGACCACTAGAGACAATGCTCTAAAGATAATAAAAAAGAAATATTTGATTAGAAAAACTTCATGTGCTGCAAAGTCAATGAAAACAAGGCCCAGAGAATTTAATGTAATGGAAAGATTATTGAGCTTATGCATAGGAGAACAGAGCCAAAAAGTCATAAATATCCTTTCTCATAATCAAATATAAAGCAATATCTGTAAACTAAGACTTTAAATAGAAATTGCCAAAACCTGCAGAAACAGCTCTTTTTAGCACAAGTAGTGGCTGGTTTGGTTATTTTCAAATACCACTAAAATTTTCAAAGCCTTCAGCTGTTAAGCAAAGCCCTGAGTGAAGATTAGAAAACAGTAAAGGTATTTCCAGCAGTGATACAAAAGTTAATTAAAGGTTATATATCATATAAAATTTTCAGTTTTGATAAAATAGATATCCAGTATAAACACATAGCTTAAAAGACTTACATTGTCAATAGCAAGAAAAAACATGCCCCAGGTTTTATGGCTACAAAAGATTACAAACGTGGTAACCTCTTTTCTACCACTTCATGATAACTCACCAGCTTCAATCCATCTGAGGCTTGCTTAGAGAAACAAACGGCAGCCCCTCCACCAAGACAAAGTATAATATTTATTGTAGTATTTATGGTTTTCTTCACCATTTAAAATGTATAAAACTGGGCTATCATTTTCATTATTTTCCTACCTTTTATTTGTATATGTCGCTGATAAAATTTGTGAAGATTTTGTTCCTAACTTTGCATTTGCTAGCAACTATTTGTCTTTATTTCATGATTTTACATAGTGCAATAAATTTTAAGAATGTCTGTGTTTATGATGGCAGAACTGGGTGTAATAGAAAACCATTCAAGTTAGATTGTACAAAAATGAAATTATTTAAGTGACTCTGCATACAACCAAAGACAAGAAGGGTAATTGCAACTCATGAGGCATCTGAATTGGTTTCTAAAAATTTCTGATAAACCAAGAGAGCCTTCTGTGTCATCTTTTCAGGGTCAAATAATCTCTTTTCTCTTTCTTCTGAAAGTCTGTTTATTGTTTAGTTTTTTATAATGACCTATTCATGAGTTTTTTTTAACAAGTACCTGGAAAAGATGACCATTTCTCCACCTCTCAGAGTAGGCAAGCTGCTATGGTTTGAATGTGATCCCCAAAGTTCATGTGTTAGATACTCAATGTTGCAGTATTGGGAGGTGTGGCTTTCAAGAGGTAACCAAGCTATGAGATCTGCACTCTCATGAATGGATTAATGCCCTTACTGTAGGAGTGTTTTTTTTTTTTTTGTTTGTTTTGTTGTTGTTTTTTAATAAAAGGTTGAATTTGGTCTCCTCTTGCTCACTCTCTGCCTCTTTTTCCCCTTCTACGATGTGACGTCTTCTACCATGTGATGATGCAGAAAGAAGGTGCTCATCAGACACAGGCCCCTCAATCTTGAACTTCCCAGCCTCCAAAAGTGAGACAATACATCTTTGTTCACGGTAAGTTACCAAGTCTGCGGTATTCTGTTCTAGCAGCACAAAATAGACTAAGACTATTACACTATTATACTAAGACTATTATAAGGCAGAAGAGATTGACTACTGCGTAACCAAAAGCTCTTTCTCAAATTTTTGTGAGAGATAACCTGCTTAATTAATCTTAGACTGGAAAATACTCCAAACTTGCCAAGAGTTTTATTTTTATTCACATTATCACTACAATGAATTCAATTATTAAATGAGATACTTATGAATAAGTTGTGAAATGCATGTAAAAGATTGAGTGGAGCATTTGAAACTTGAAACACAGTTTTGTTCTTCACAGTAATAATTCTAGGAGTGGTGAACAAGCTTTTTGTTATGTTTTATCTCATTTTGCTTTAAATGAGCCTGCCTCTAGATTTAAAAAGTCATAAAATTTTAGCTAGAGGGCTTCTTGATCATCTAGACAACCATTTAATTCCCACGATTAAAAAACTGAGCCCCATGAGGTTGTGAATTGCCAAAGGCAATGATTGAGTGACATGGTAGCTGAAGTGGCAATGCTAATATTAGCCTCGGTTATGGTTTCTGGAAGCTGGTAACCAGGTAGAACAATGAAAAATAAAAATAAGAAAATGTATCCTGATCTTATTTTAGATTTCTAGCCTTAAAAGACATCAACAATAAGTAATTAAGCATATATTATTGGCTGTTAGAAAAAAATATGAATACTTTCAAGTTTCTGCATGGTGAAGATGTTTGAGCAATAAAAACTGGAACCTGGGTTGAAATACAAGCATGAACTGTTAAAAGATGACAGAATAGAGAGGGAGAGAAATCCAGAAAGATATACCTTCTTGGAGATATATATTTTTATCCCAAAGGGGGAGAAAACCCAGAAAGGTGGATATTTTTTAGTGACTGTAAACAAAAGACAATTATATTATCAATCCTACTGTGGAGATTTATTTTTATTCCAAAGGGCAAGTACCTTTACCCTTTATTTTACCCTTTATTATTTATGGATAATTTCTTTAAGGAGATGATTATTTTCTCCCTCTCTTAGGAAGAAAAAAAATCTGCTTTGTGAGCCATATGATATAAATTTCAAGGTTCACAATTTTTGGTTTCTATCTCTTGATTTGTTTATTGCTATAAGTAATAATATTTTTCCTTGATTCAGAATCCTATATTTGCCTTCAGGGAAATATAAATGTAAATATTCAAAGTGCATCACTGTAGAATACAATGAGGTGATCTCTAGACCTTCTCTGCAGTGAAAAAAAAAAAAACCATAACAGGTGAAAATTATTAAAGCAAAGAAACAAATCATGAACAAAAACTAGGTTAATTCCTAGTAGTCACCTTATAAGAAATACATCTTATAAGAAATAAAAATGAGTCCTTCACAGAGAAAGCGTTTTCATCAGAAAGTAATTTGAATCCACATGAAAGGAAAAAAGCTTTGGTAAAGGTAATTATGTAATTATCAAAGATATAATTACATATATTTAATTATATGTAATTATAATTAAATAATTATAATTATTAATTATAATTATATATTTTTAATATATAAATATATTTATATTTAAATATAAAATATATTTAATTTATATTTAAATATAAAATATATTTAATTATAATTAAATATATTTTACTTCTCTCTGCCCTTAATTGATTTATAAAACAACTATGTATTAAAATATGCATATAATTTATCATAAATAAATATAATATCAGTAACAATAACAGCACAAAATGGGGGAAGAGGGATTAGAATTATATGCAAATAACATTTCTTTTTTTTTTTTTTTTTTGAGATGAAGTCTTGCTCTTGTTGCCCAGGCTGGAGTGCAATGGCACAATCTCGGCTCACTGGAACCTCTGCCTCCCAGGTTCAAGCAATTCTCCTGCCTCAGCCTCCCGAATAGCTGAGATTACAGGCGGCCACCACCACGCTTGGCTAATTTTTTTTTTTTTTTTGTATTTTTAGTAGAGACAGGGTTTCACCATGTTGGCCAGGCTGCTCTCAAACTTCTGACCTCGTGATCTGCCCACCTCGGCCTCCCAAATAACATTTCTATATCTTGCCAGAATTAATTGAGTGCAAATATGAAGCAGATTCTGGTAAATCAAATTGTATACAGCAAGTCCTAGAGCAATGGCTAAAAAAATAACCAAAAAAGTGAAAATTATTAAAGAAATTAAAATGTTACACTAGAAAATATTCACTTAATTTAACAATTAAGTGAAGAATGAATAAAGACATAAAACTTATAGAAAACAAAAGGTAAAATAGTAGGCATAAATTCACATATATCAATAATAATCTAATGTGGATAAATTAATGAAAAGGGATAGATTGTCAGGTAAGCTAAAAAACAACATTTAATTATATGCTGCCTATAGGACACATACTTTAAAATCCAGAAATAATTTAGATTTTAAATATATTTTAGATTGAAATTAAAATGGAAGGAAAAAAAATAAACCATGCAAACAAGCATAAGAAAGCCAGAATGGCTATAATAGTGCCAGACAAAATAGACTGTAAAAGAAAAAAACAATAAAAAAAGTTACCAGCGATAAGAAGAGATGTTGTATAATGACAAAATGACCAAACCATTAAGAAGATATGGTAAGTATAAACCTATACTCACCTAACAACAGAGATCAAAACACATAACCCAAAAACTGACAGAATTTAAGAGAGAAACATTTAATTCAACCATTATAGCTGGAGCTTCACTACCCCATTTTCGGTAATAGATAGAACAACTAAAAAGACAGTCAAGAAGACAATACAAGATTGGCATAATACTATAAACCAACTAGACCTGGTAGATAGCTACAAAACACTTCACCTAACAACAGCAAATACACATGCTTCTCAAGTGCATATAAAACACATAGATTATTGTCACCCTATAAAATAAATCTTAATAAATTTAAAAGTATTGACATCATACAAAGTATGTTCTCTGCCAAAAGGGTAAAAGATCTCTACAAGCAGAACTACAAAACACTGCTAAAATAAACCACAGAAGACACAAACACATGGACAAACACTCCATGCTTATCAATTGGAAGAATCAGTGTCATTAAATTGGTCATACTGCCCAAAGCAATCTACAGATTCAACACTATTCCTATCAATCTACCAATGGCATTTTTCACAGAATTGAAAAAAAAACTATTCTAAAATTTTTATGGAGCCAAAAAAGAACCTGAACAGCCAAAATAATTCTAAGCAAAAATAACAAAGCTAGAAGACTCACATTATCCAATTTTATGCTATAAGGCTACAGTAACCAAAACAGCATGGTACTCGTGTAAAAACAGACATATAGATCAGTGGAACAAAACAGAAAGCCTGAAAATAAAGCCATATACCTACAGCCACCTAGACTTCAATAAAGTTGACAAAAATAAGCAATGGAGAAAGCATTCCTTATTCAATAAATGGTGCTGGGATAGCTCAGTAGTCACATGTAGAAGAACAAAACTGGGCCCCTACCTTTCACCACATACAAAAATTAACTCAAGATGGATTAAAGATTTAAATATAAGATTTCAAACTATAAGAATTCTAGAAGAAAACCTAGGAAACACCATTCAGGACATGGACCTTGGAAAAGAATTTATGACCAAGTCCTCAAATACAATTGCAACAACAATAAACAATTGACAAGTGGGACTTAGTTAAACTAAAGAGCTTCTGCACAGGAAAAAAAAAAAAAAAACTATCAATAAAGTAAACAGACAACCTACAGAATGGGAGAAAATATTCACAAACTATGCATCTAAAAAAGATCTAATATCCAGAATTTATAAGGAACTTAAAAAATTCAATAAGAAAAAAAAACACATAACCGCTTTAAAAAATGATCAAAAGACATGAACGGACACATCTCAAAAGAAGACATACAAATGACCAACAAACATGAAAGAACACTTATTATCCCTAATCATCAGAGAAATGCCAATTAAAGCCATAATGAGATATTATTGCATAACAGTCAGAATGGCTATTATTAAAGTCAAAACAACAGATTCTGGCAAGGCTACAGAAAAAAGGGAACATTTGTACACTGTTGGTAGGAATGTAAATTAATTCAGCCACTGTGGAAAGCAATTTGGAAATTTCTCAAAGAACTTAGAACAGCCGTTTGACTCAGCCTTCTCATTACTGGTTATATATCCAAAAGAAAACAAACCAGTCTGCCAAAAAGACACATGCATTTGTATGTTTATCATAGGACTATTCACAATAGCAAAGATGAGGAATCAACCTAGGTGCCATCAAGGGTGGATTCAATAATGAACATGTAGAACGTAAACACCATGGCATACCATGCAGCCATAAAAATTAACAAAATCATGTCCTTTGCAGCAACACCGATGCAGCTGGAAGCCACTATCTTAAGCGAATTAATGCAGGAACAGAAAACTAGATACTGCATGTTCTCACTTACAAGTTGAAGCTAAACTCAGGTACTTGTGGACATAAAGATGGCAACAATAGATACTAGAGCCTACTAGAGGAGTCGGCAAGGCTTACCAAACTATTGGGTACTATGCTCAGTACATCGATGTGGGGATCATTCATACTCCAAACCTCAGCATCATGCAATATACCCAAGTAACAAACCCACACATGTACCCCTTGGATCTAAAAGTTGAAAAAATAATATGTTCTGTGATCACAATAGAATAAAATGAGAAATCAATGACAAAAATAAATTGTATATATATGTGGAAATTTTAAAACACTCAAATAATAAATGGATCAAAGAAATCAAATTAGAGAAATAGGAAAATACCTTTAGATAAACAAAAATAAAAACTCCAACATACCAAAACTTATAGAGTACAGCTAAAATAGTCCTTAGTGAAAAATGTAAATCTGCAAACGCCTAAACTTAAAAAATAATATGTCATATATGAAAGCTAACTTCCATCTTAAGAAATTGTTAAAAAGAGAGAAAAATGTAACATAAGCAGAAGAAGGAAATAATAAATATTGAGTGGTAATTAATAAAATAGACAATTAAAAGGTTATGGAGAAAATTAATGAAATCAAAATTTGGTTCCTTGGTCAACAAAATTTACAATCCTTTAGCTAGACTGACAAAGAAAAAAGGAGAGGCAATTCAAAATACTAGCACTGAAAGAAGGAACACTGCAGTCATTATGAAAATTAAAATAATTAAAAAGGAATACTATGACCAACTATATGTCAACAAATTAGATAATTTAGATGAAATACACAAGTTTCAGAAAAGACACAAACTACTAAAACTAACTCAAGGAAATCTGAACAGAGCAGTAATAACTGATGAGATGGAATTTGTAATTGTGAAACTTCCCACTAAGGAAAGCCTAATGCTAGCTTACTTAATTGGTAAATTATATTAGTTAAGAAAACATTAATACTAATCCTCATAACCTCGTCCAAAACACAGAAAACAAAGGAACACTTCCTAACTCATTTGATGAGGGTAGTATTACCCTGAAGTCAAACGCATCACAAGAAAATAAAACTATACACCAATAACCTATTATGAATATAGACACAAAAATTCTTTAAAAAATGCTAACAAACAAATCTAGCCAACACATAAAAAGGATTACAGACCACAATCAAATGAGATTTATCACAAGAATTGGTTTAAAATGGAAAATTAACTAATGTAGTCCACCATGTTAATAGAGTAAATAGTAAAACCACATGATTATTCAATAGATACAGAAAAAGCACTTGACTAAATCCAATGCCTACTCATGATTAAAAAAAAAAAAAAAAAACTAAGAAAACTAGAAACAGAGTCTACTTCCTCAACTTGAAAGAGGGTATCTAAGAGAAACTCACAGCTAATATCACACTTAATAGTGAAAAACTAAATGCTTTCAAACTGAGAACCTAAGAACAGGAATAAGACAAGGTTGTCTGTCCTTCTGCCTATTTTATTTAACATTGTACTAGGGGTTCCAGCCCGGACAATTAGGCAAGAAAGTGAAATAGAAGGCATCCAGATTGAAAAGAGAAAAGTAAATGAAATGAGAAAAGTAAAAAAGTCAGGGGAGAAGACAATGGAACATTATTCAATGTGAAAAAGAAATGAACTATGGAGCCATGAAAAGACATAGAGGAAAATTAAGTAAACATAACTTACTATGTGAAAGAAACCAATCTGAAAAGGCTATATACTATGTAATTCCAACTATATAAATCTCTTGAAAAGTCAAAACTATGGCGACAGTAAAACAATCAATGATGACGAGGATGTAGAGTAAAGAGGGATAAATAGGCAGACCACAGAGAACTTTTAGGTTATTGAAATTACCCTGTATATTGTAATGGTGAATACATATCATTATATATTTGTCCAAACCCATAGAATGTACAACCCCAAGTGTGAACCCTACTGTAAACTATAGACTCTGGGGATAATGATGTGTCGATGTAGGTTCAAGTTGCAATAAATGTACCACAAAGTGGAGGATATTGAAAGTGGGGGAAGCCATGTGTGTGTAGGGTCAGGGAGTAAGTAAAATATCTCTGTACCTTCCACCCAATTTTGAAGCAAACCTAAAACTGCTCTAAAAATTATCTTATTTTAAAAAACATGAGCAAAATATTTGAATAGATGCTTCTCCAAAAAGTTATACAAATGGCTAATAACCAGGAGAAAAGATGCTCAACATCATTAGTCATTAGAGAAATGCCAATCAAAACCATAATTAGATACCAGTTTATACCCACTAGGATGACTATTATGAAAAAGATGGATAATAGCAGCTTGTTGTCAAGAAGTCAGTGAAGATATTGGAATCCTCACACATTGTTTGTGGAATGTAAAATGCTGTAACCACTTTGGAAAACAGTTTGGTAGTGCCTTAAATAGTTAAACAGATTTACCATATAACCAGCAATTCCATTTCTAGGTACATATCCAAGATAACCAAAACCATATGTCTGCATAAATACTTGTACATGGTTATTCATTGTAGAATTCATAATTCAAATATCCACGGATAAATAAAAGAATTCATAATTCAAATATCCACGGATAAATAAAATATGATCTATCCATACAATGGTGTTTTATTCAGCCGTATGAAGGAATAAAGTACTGACACACACTATGACATGGATCAACCTTAAAAACATTATACCAAGTGAAAGAATGTTATCACAAAAATCGCTGTTGTGTGATTCCATTAATATAAAATGTATAGAATAGACAATTTATGGAGATAGAAAACACATTAATATTGCCTATAGCTGGGGAATGTAGAAGGAAATAAGGAGTGTCTGTTAATGAATACAGGAGACTAGGTACCAGGAGTTAACTTCAGCCAGTCAAGTGTAATTTCACAGACCACAAGGCTGAGAATAGGGGAAAGGTGGTTCCCAAAAAATAAAACTTCAGTGTGTTTTGTGGCAGGAAAGAGAACTACTAAAGCCAAGCAGGAGTTAGCCAGGCAAATGGAATGGGGGAAATGAAATTGAACAACCTTACAGAGTCTATTTTATGCAGGTCCTGGTAAGGTATGTTAATTGGCTTAGGTTTTATCCTAAAAAATATTTTCTATAAATAGTTGTCAATATGGAAATGGAGTGTTCACATTTGTATTTCAGATAACTTATTTTGGCTGCTCCTCTTAACTAGTGAATTGCAAGCTTCCCCTTAACATTCTGAAGTCCCACTTGCACTCTTTAAAATCTCCAAGTTATTTTACAATAACTGCTAATAATAGAGGCTGAGTTCAGGCTAAAGATAGAGAAGTAACCATATAGCTGGGAAAGTATAAGCCAGTAAATCAGGGGGCACCCGTGCTTCCAAAGTTACTCAAATAAAATGGAGCATGTTTTCTCCACACAGTGAGATCAATTTATCATTCATCCATCTACTACTTTCCAGATGCTGTCCTAAGCACGGTAAGGATACAAAGATGAAAAGGACACTATTCCCACTTTCAGAAAGTTAATGCACTTGGAGGGGAGAAAAACACATATAACTCTAATAAAATTAGTCTATGAATACTACTAGCAGAGACTTTATGTTTCCATGAGGTTGCAATCTGACCTTGTTCATCAGTGGTCCCTAGTACCTAAATGTTTCCTAGTACATAATAGGCATTTAGCAATTATATTTTTCATGGATGTGTGAGAAGGTGATATAAACTCACGGCAATAGTAGTTTAGAGATGATTACTTCTGGCTATGGAGGCAAAGGTATTTGGGAATAGGTAGTATTTGCCTAGGTGTTGAAATATAGGTATTAGTATTGTTTAGCAAGAGAGGAAGCTAGATGAAGAATGTGTGAGAACCTTCCAGGAAGAAACACCAACAAAATCACAACCAAAGACAAGGTGGCAGGAAAAGAAAATGGTATTTAGTTAACAGAGAATTGAATTGAACTGTCTAGATGAGGACAGATAGAAAGTAGTGGAGAAGGGGCTAGAAAGGTCAAGCGTTGGCTTTTTTTTTTTTTTTTTTTTTTTTGACAAGTTCCTGCTATGTTGCACAGGGTGGAGTACAGTTGCTATTCACACATGTGGTCATAGTGCACTACTTCTGGCCTCAAGTAATCCTCCTGCCACCCTCTGGAGTGGTTGGGGCTACAGGTATGCACCAATGCATCTGGCTATGGGCCTTTTTGTGGGGGAAGGAAGCAGCAATGTACTACCTGGTTAAAATGTTTGAAGAGCTTGAAGGAGATAGGTATGGATCAGGTAGAACAGTATGTTTCCTATTCTGTATTATTCTGGGGGGACAATGGCTGCAGGGGATTGGCACTAGGAATAGAAAACTGAAGAAAGAGCTAAGCTAACCAAATAGAATTATAACCTACAGGAATTATATCATGTTTTCCTTAAACTACAGGTGTTCGTCCCAATAAAAATCAATACTAATTGTTATTTTTCTATAGACCAGACATGCTTTGCAGAAACATTTCTCTATTCCACTAAGTTCTGTAAAAAATCATCACAACAAATAAAAACAAAAAGTGAATAATTGAAAGCCTTTCTCCAAGAATTAATAATACATTAACATGTGAATAAAACATGTTTCTAAAGGAAATATAATTACTTTTATTCTGAGAGAATGACTTAAAGCATTCTCTTTACCTTAAATATTTATGTTAATTTAGCTTATTATCTTACTAAAATATTTTAACAAATTACTCAATGCAGGTTATGTTAATTCTAAAGCTACAGCTGTACAATTTAAATAACTAAAAAAGTTATTGTCACTTATGCTGCTTATAAGTAGGTGTCACCATTTTTAAATGAACACTTTAATCATCATAATTGTGTTAGTAATTTTGCTACTTATTGCCTGAAGCGCTTAAGTTGAAGATAGTTAGCCATGCCTTAGGGGTCTAGTGTAGTGCTATAAAGAGGAAATTAACTGAAAGATTGATTACTAAAAAAAGTCTGGGACTTGCTTATGTATTGAACATAGCAGTAGGTCACAGATATATTTCAAATTTAACTGTCAATTTTCATTAGTTTTAGTCTTCTTTTTGGCTTATAAATTAAATATAATGGTGATGAGATATTTAAAAAATTAATGTCTTATTCAAAATATATTTAAGCTACATCATTGTGGTGCAATTTATATGAGTCCAGTATGGGGATGCTCTGAATTACTGACGCCATGATAATCACTCAGTTATGGAAGAGGGAATACTTCATTTGCCAAAATAAAAAAGGTGACTACAGGCATAATTAGAAATTATTAATTGTTTGGGATAAACAAGTAGCCTAAGGGTGACCCAAAAGCCATTAGGCAAATTTCAAAAGCAATTAGGTGAGGTTATTATTTCACTGAGGTTGTGTAGTCATAGGTGGTATTTCTTAAGGAGTGGCAAGGGATAACAAGACTCAAAATGGCCTTGAAAGAATTTGATAAGAAGGAAACTATTTGAACTGAATCCCAGGTCTTTTTAATTGGTTTCTATGACCAAAGGCCCTAAAATCTGCATTTAGGAAGTTTCTTAATTCCCTAAAACTGGTTCATAGAATCACTACACAAATGCCAGCAACTGTCATTGTTAAAGAGAATTATTTTTAAAATGTCATCTTAAGCTACTTCATTTTGGAGGGGGCAATTCAGGTGAATTTGTTGGGGTACTTTTGAATAAATAAAAATTAAAAATAAGAGACTTAATTCCCCCATTGAGATAAAGAAAGGGACTTCTTCATCCTCATTTTTATTAGAGCATTTACTTTAGAAACCTTATCATTGTAAGTACATTCTCCTCTCTTCGAAATGTACAGAAATTATTTTGAAAACTAGATAGGTCTTTTGTCAACTTTATGACTCAGGAATACCTTTCAGAGCTTGGAAGCCATCTTTTTGAAACGCTGATATGGTTTGGCTCTGTGTCCCCACCCAAATTTCACCTTGAATTGTAATCACCATAATCCCCACCTATCAAGGGCGGGACCAGGTGGAGGTAATTGGCTCATGGGGGTGGTTTTCCGCCATGCTGTTCTCATGATAATGAGTGAGTCTCAGGAGATCTGATGGTTTTATAGCATCTGGCATTTCCCCTGCTTGCACTCACTCCATCCTGCTGCCCTGTGAAGAAGGTGCCTGCTTCTCCTTTGCCTTCCACCATGATTGTATCTTTCCTGAGGCCTCCTCAGCAATGCAGAACTGTGAGCCAATTAAACCTCCTTTTTTTATAAATTACCCAGCATCAGGTATTTCTCCATAACAGCATGAGAACAGACTAATATAAATGTTAACATAAAGGAAGACAGTGCTCCTATCTCCCAGTTTCTGTGGAAGGATAATAATCTAACTTTTGTGGGCACCTTGCTCCAATTTGCAAAGCTAAAGCTATGTTCTATCATAAAGGTATATGGTTTTGATTGTTTGTTTGTCTCTCTCGATATAGCCAATATGCTAACACAGATGGTCACCCCAATTACAAGGTAAAGTTAGGATGAACTGTGTGACAAAAGGTGCTGTCAGTCCTCTTACTTGACAACTAGTTATTGTTCATCTTGAAAAATGTATGTAATGGGTTACTTGATTATATAAGGGGTAGAGATTCCTTTCTGTCTTTGCAATCTCTTAATGGATTTCCTGTGATGTGCATCATATTATGGTGTAATGCTTTTTCAATAATAAAAGTGTTCTCTTTCTCTACTGTCTTTGTGGATAATTTCTGGGTTGAGAGAATATTTTGTTTTTAATTATATTTCTTCAACACTTGCAAGCCCAAAGCCTTTTTAGTTAATGTGGATATGTGAAATACACTGGTATAAGGATGTGTCAACAGTAGTGACTATGGGAAACAGGTCACTGTTAACAGCATGAAAATTCCATTTTTTAGCACTAGCCAATATAAATAAACAAAATTTTAGCTTATAGACTGACAGTCTGCAGTACTGCTTTATGTGTAGGCTGTGTTCTTGAAAATTTCACATATATATATACACACACACATACACACACACACACATAAAAGCCCATAAATTGTTTTTAATTTAAATAAATTGGTCTTCAGATATCTTGGGGGCAGCCACTTTTGCAGTTTCATATTTTTGTAATGCCAATCCAGCAGTACCAACATTATCTCATCTGTAAATTCAGATCTCTCTACATAAAACTAACAGAAACTCATTACTTAGTATACTGTGGTGAGAAACTTCCTGCCATACCAGCTCCTCTGCCTCCATTAAGGACCATTATGACAGACACACCACACAAAAGCACCCCGTCAGCTAGACTTGTTCCTGGAAATGGCCAGCCACAGAAAATCTTCAGTCTCTAACATTGAATAAGACTTCCTGTTTTGAAATATTCTGAAAATGCCGGCTCACCTAGTTCCAGCACACCAACTAATCTCAAATATACCTGAATAAGTCTCTGCTTCCACATCCCACTTTAATGTAATGCTCACCAATTAGAGACGCTTTCAGCATTTTTTTCTTTTTTACCAGGTAAAATTTACTCTCATTTCTAACATCCTTGTACCTCTGCTGAAATGAAAGTGATGACAGATGGGTTCTCTTCCTGCACATTTATGAATAATCAGCCTGTGTTAATTTTAACTTGGGTTCAGTTTTGTATTTGACAGTGTATGATGTATATTTACTTGTTTCTATCCTACACAGTGTAAAGGCTTTCCGAGGGCAAGAGTGTATATGCTTACATTTTTACTGCCTGACACTGCCTGGCACACTAGGAGATCCAATTTATATTGACTGGACAGATTCATGTGTCTTGATAAAGCTGTTAGTTAAAAAAGAATCCTTAGTTTTAATGGTAGTGTATTTTATGGAAGTAAACAAAGACCATCTGAATGAGAACAAGCAAAGTTTATTTATTCAGAGTTTTTAATTGCAAAGGAATCAGCCATCATTGCTTGCATTTTGGCAGACTCAAAGTGCAGCAGAAAAGTAGGGAAGCTTCATAGTTGAGAAGAGGAAAGGCTTCAACTATTATTCCCTGATTGGAGGCTGTTGTTGTGGGGTGGCTAACTAGAAGTGAAGCATCGATGGAATTGGTTAGAGGTGTATAACTGGCTTTCTCTAGTTGGTCCTAAGTTGGAAGCAGGGACAAAAATTATTAAAGTTGTCAGTTATTAATCAAGGCCTGGTCATTTGGGGTCAATTGTAATAGGAGTTATTGTTTGGCTTCCTGGATTTATTATTAGAGATAACATTCTGACTTCCTACAAGTCAGATGTGTAGCAAGCTGGCATCCTGTGCTGGTAGCTGCAAATTGTGGGTTAGGGTTCTATTTTTCTATATGGTCTGGCTTTCACTCATTTGTATATTCTGTCTCTCAATTCCTTCAGTAGCATCCTAGAAAAGACTCTATTGTTAGTTCATCCTTCTTATTGAGCAGATCTATCTTCCTTATCCAGACTCTAAAAGCTTTAGGGATCCCTATTGCCTAACAAAAAAAGTCAAAATCCTTTAGCCTGGCACAATCCAGACTCAAACCATCTTCTCGGCCTTTATAGCCTGCTGTTCTCTTCCATGCATCCAGCAATGTAAGCAAACTGGAGTCCTTTCTATTGCAAAATACAACTATGCTTTCTGGCTTTTGTGCCTTCAAATCAGCTCTCTCCTTTTTTTCTGATCTCTTCTCCATCCACTTTCCATCTCTGCCAATTCCTAGCTGAGAATCCCTGAAGGCCAAGTTGAAATGTATTTTCCTTTTCTGAACATTTCATAAAACTTCACTTTAAATGCTTTTCAGAGTAAAGTACTATGTAACTATAATATGTATACATTGCTTTTATCTATGTTAGAAAAATTATCTAAACCTTGAAAATAAGAAAAAATGTGAATAGCACATTTTTTCAGTGTCCCATGAAAGCAAAACATCATTTATGGGAATGTACATGATTACCTCACTATTTACCCAAGGTCTAAGACTTAAGAAAGGGAAGTTAGACTTTTAAACTGATTTTTTAAAAATTAGACTTTAACTTGTAGACTTTTTTAGAAAGATGAAATTAATTTCTCTCTTGTACGATATACAATTCCAAAATTTTATATCCCTTTCTATGAGTTTTGTCTCTAACCTGGTGATCTCAAATAATATTACTTACAAATAATTACTTTTCAAATGTTCTTTATATCAATTAAAACTTCTTATTAGGCCCGGCGCGGTGACTCACACCTGTAATCCCAGCACCTTGGGAGGCCGAGACGGGCGGATCATGAGGTCAGGAGTTCAAGACCAGCCTGGCCAACATGGTGAAACCCCATCTCTACTAAAAATACAAAAATTAGCCAGGCATGGTGGTGTGCACCTGTAATCCCAGCTACTGGAGAGGCTGAGGCAGGAGAATCTCTTGAAGCCAGGAGGCAGAGGTTGCAGTGAGCGGAGATCACACCATTGCACTCCAGCCTGGGCAACAGAGTGAGACTGTCTCATAACAAAACAAAACAAAAACAAAAAAAACTTACTTGTTCCTTTGTTAATTAAGAACTAGAATACAATTTTTGACATGTGTACATTTTATATATTCATGAGTCATGCTTTTACCCATTTGGAAGTTATACTTTGAGATGGGTGTGTTAAAAACACTGTTAGGAGAGTGAACTATTCTGTATGGAACTAGAATGGTGGCTACATGTCCACCATTTGTCCCAACTCACAGAATGCACAACATCAAGAGTCAACCCTAATGTGAACTATGGAGTCTGGGGGATATAATGTTTCAATGTTGATTCATGGATTATAACAAATGGACCACTCTGGTGGGGGATATTGATAATGGGAAAGGCTAAGCATGCATAGGTACCAAGGTTGTATGGAAAATCCTGTGCCTTCTGCTTGATTTTATTGTAAACCTAAAACTGCTCTGGAAAAATAATTAATTAAAAGCAAAACAAAACGTAACACCTTAAGGTGTGCTTTAATTTTTTTCCATTGTTTATTTCCTTAGAGGTCTCATTCCATTGTGTTATATATAATATACGTTCAATACATGCTTGATGAATAGCCTATCCAATTTTGGTTAATAATGAATCCAAAGAAACATTTCTTTTTGAATAACCAGAATATAATCTTATATCTTTAGTGAAAATTTATGTTTTGGTTAGGTTTTTTTTTATTAGCCAAACGATATTTGGCTCATCATGTAAGTTGATTAAAATGTGTAAGTGAAATGTATGTTTACTTATATCATCAGATGACAATAAATAATTTGTATTATTAATAAAAAATGTAAAGCACACAAATAAGCCATAACCTCAATTAAAAAGTCAAACAACGCTCTTAAAGCTCCACATTATCAGGTGGCATTACTCAGTCAGAGGTATCTTTATAAACTCAAAACCTGTAATTTGGCCTACAATAGCACCTGAAATGAATTTAATTCCCTGATGTCAACACAAACAATTTCAAAGTGAAGTTTTCTATGCATGTAGAAAGTTATATATGGAAGTTCTTAAGTTACCTGACAGAAACAAATCCATGTTGTAGACAAAATGTCAGTGGGATTTAAGAAGAAAAAAAAAAAAAAAAAGAGGTTACATGAGGGACAATGAGTTATCTCAAGCTTGAAATTAACATATAATCTGCAGCAAATACATATACTTGTGAAATAGCTTTATCCAAAAGAAAATCCGTCTCGTGTAAATTTTCAGCAGTAATATATGAAAAGGATAATACATCATTCCCAGGAGGCTTTATCTAAAGAACAAAAAGCTGTTTTAACTCTCAAAAATCAATCAGTATAATTCATCATATTAATAGAATAGAAAAGATAAGCCATATGATTATCCTAATAGATGCATAAAAAGCAATTGACAAAATTCAATACTGATACCTAAGAAGAATTTTGCGTAGAGTAAGATTGGAGGGGAATTTCTTCAATCTGATAAAGGGAACCTATGAAAAACCTGCAGTTGACTGTGTACTTAATGGCAAATTATTGAACTCTTTCCCAATGAGATCAGAAACAAATCAATGATTACCATTATCACCACTTCTATTCAACATCATACTAGAAGTCTGTTTATGTAAAAAAATCTTAAACTATCTAAAAACAGCTACTAGGCCTAATAAATGGACTAAACATAGTCACTACAGATAAGGTTAATATGCCAAAACCAACTGTATTTTTATATACTAGCAGAAAACAGGAAAAAAAGTTAAAATTTTAAAATCTACGATAGCATTAGAAAACAAGTTATTTAGACTTTCTAAATTTATGAATGTTTTGGAGAATTTTATCTTAGTGATCTACATGTATGGTGTACTTTGAGCAGTATATTTTATACATGGTCTACTTTAATCTTCAAAACAACTTTATGAGGTAGGTGATGTTTTTCCTACAGCACTTGTCAAAACGACACGGCTTGAAAGAGACAGAGATAGGGTTTAACTCTGTGTTGAGAAAGTGACTCTAAGTCCATACTGTTCCTATTACACCTCAGGAAAAATTACAAAGTATTACATTAGTCCATTAATATTTTAATGAATCATTTTCCCATAGGTATCAGTAGGCTTAAAGCACCTTTGATAAAAGTTACTTTATATCAAAGTACCTTTATTCATTACAAATAAATGTTGTTATAGGCTAAGAGAGACTGATTTAGAAAAAGAGTAAAAATTTTTTTTAAATGAAAATGGTAGCAATTATTATAAAATTGCATCCAACTATTGGGGTAAAAAGATATAGATCTTCAATATGCTTAGTTTTTTAATATCTTAAAATATTAAAAATGTCCAGTCACATGGAATTAAAATGGAACGTTAAAAAAATACATGTGTAAAAAACAACTATTGCTGCCTTGGCAGTTTCACCTACTACTTTGGTGAATTTCTGAAAGGACTCATATAACTCAACACAAAATTATACTCATGGCTAAGATTTATTACAGCAAAGAGTACACGGCAAGAACAGCAGGAAAAAGCTATACATAGACAAATCATATAGTGGCTTTCTTGTCCTTCCTCTGCATGGATTGCACAGACACATCTTTCTCCTCAGCTTTGAATTGCAGGAAGAAGTGAGAGATGCCCTTGCCCAGTAAAACCTTTTAAAGGTAGCTGGTCACACAGCTACCACATGACCAGCCATAGTGCAGACCCCAAAACAGGTGTGTATTATGAATCTTCATGTTTGTTCTCAATGTGCTGACAACCTCCTTCATCTTGACCCACTGTTTCTACACATATAGAATAACATCACTACATAGTAACTATGTGAACATTCCAATAGTTTTGTTTTGAGGACTTGACCAAGGATCATCACCATGGCTGCAGTGATAATTAAGAACTGAATGAAATAGACTGCTACATTAATTGTTTCCCTGCTATTGCATAAGATCATTGATAAGAATGTTGGTAGGACTTTTGCCTGGAATTC